>NC_000010.11:3949393-4100909 GCF_000001405.40 Homo sapiens
ACTTTTGTAGCTTCTGTCACTGCTGCCTGGAGTATAGAATTAAACACCTTTTTGCAGAAAAAGCCTCCAGCTGTTTTTTTTTTTTTTTTTTTTTTTTTTACTCTCAGATAATATGGGGTGATTTTTAAAAGACCTGAGACACACAAAATGCTACCTTTTGTAATGCTTTAGGAGGAGGTCTTCAGAAAGTATGAACCAAACGCAAAATAAAAGATTTTTTTTTTTAAACGTTATAAGCACTGCACACGGATGAACTCTGCCAGGCTGGTGGGATTCTTTCTGATTAGATGACTGAATTTTATTTTTGGATTTTCCCCTTTTGCTGTATCCTTTTTATTTCTTAAAAAAGGAAAAAGGGTTAGCTGCCTGCTAGTGCACAGTTCTGCCTTTTACAGAGAAATCTGAAATCCAGGCCAGGGAGAAAAAGATGCTTTTATCCCTCCAGTGTTCGCAGCGTGAAGCATTTGGCGTTCACTCTGCAGCCCTCCTGAAACCAGATCTTCAGTGACCCGGGGCTCAGCCTGGGTGGTGCTGAACAGTGACCCGGGGCTCAGCGTGGGTGGTGCTGAACCCTGGCAGTGGTGTTGGTGGGATCTGTTCAGGAGACCGTGCTGTCTTCTACATTTACCTTTCAGTCTGGTCCTGCAGGGTCCTTTTCCGCCTTCGCTTTTTAGCTCTTAGGGGAAGGGTCCCCTGAAGCTTTCACAAATCCCAGCGGGGCTGCTGATTGGGTCTGAAACAAGATCAAGAAATTCAGGTAGCAAGAAAAGATCGGAGAGGCAGCCAGGGAGAGGCAAAAGGTGGACACTTTTCCTTTCATTGACTTTGAAAGTAGCTTTCTGTGCTTATATTTTGAGAATATAAGAACACAATAGGGAGTATAAACTTTTATAAATGAAAGGAATGAAATCACAGGTATTGCAGGTGAGCTATTAAATCTAGATAGGGAGCACCCCAATATCTGACTCTCTCTGAAACCCCAGGGTGATAGGCCCTGTACAGGAGGGGAGTGAGGCTGTTTATTGGAAAATTCCCATTGAGGACATGTGAACACAAAGAAGGGGATGATACCCACTGGGGCCTATTCGAGGGTGGAGGCATGAGGAGGGTGAAGATTGAAAACCTACCTCTCGGATACTATGCTAATTGTGTGGGCAACACGGTTATGTGTACACTAAACCCCCTCGATACACAATGAGCCCATATAACAAACTTGCACAGGTACCCCTTGAACCTAAAATAAAAGTTGGAAAGAAAGAAAAAAGAAAACACCCAGCAGACCATGTGAGGACATCTACAGCACGTGTCGCATGCCCTTCACTTCAGCCTGTGTTGTGTCGTCCCATCCAGGCAGCATGTACATGCTGGGGGGTTGGAGGGGGGTCCTGGGCCCTGCCCACCATCCCTGCAGCAGCTCACCAGGCCCTTGCTGCCAACTGTGTTCCAGTTTGCTGGCTGCACCTTGGAGAGGCCTGCTGGGGTGGCTGGGGTAGGAGGAGGGCGGCCGATGTCCTTCGGGTGAGGTGGGTGCTCTTACCATATCCCAGGGAAGTTTGCTTTTGCTAAAAGGATTTCTTTCTCTTCACCAGCCTTGACTTTTATTGCAAATGCAGCCCCAACATCAACCCTTTAAAAAAATGTCTCTGGGGTAGGTGCGTGCCAAGCCTCAAGAAAGGAAGTGGTGTTTGCCTGGCCCCCAAATGGGAGGTGAGGGGTGCAGCAGTGAAGGTGCCGCGAAAACCCTCCTCCACCACCGAGTTCAAAGGATTAGTTTGGAGATGGCCACCTCTGATGCCCTAGTCACGCTATGAATTATTATCCTATCTCATTTTAAAAAAAAAATTAAATGTATTAAGCATTATACGTAGTTCAGGTACAATGCTACACACTCAATATACTAACTTTGAATAAGTCTCATTCCTGACGCAGCTCACATTTCAGTAAAGTAGAAACATAAGTAAGCAGAGATTTATAATGAATTGTGATAGATGCTAATACATTCATGAAACAATACAGCCACCAAGCAGGACTTAAACATCTATTGTTTTTTTATGTGAGAGGAGTTCCAAGCACTAAGACTAATTGTATTATTAACTTCAACTAATAGTACCCGGTGAACACATTCAATGTCTCCTCCAGTATCTTGTGTTCTTAAATGGAATATTCTTAGCTTTTAGAGTATGTGGTTTAAAATCCTGGGTCAACCACCTACTAGTTTTTAAAACTTAGCCAAGTTACTTGAACTCTGTGCCTCAGTTTACTCTTCTGCAAAATAAAAAATTAAAAATAATACTTAACTCATAGGTTGTTCTGAGAATAAAATTGCTTAATACATAAAAAGTGATTAAATTAGTGCCTGGCCATAACGAGAACTTTATAAACTTTAATTTTTTTTTTTTTTTTTTTTGAGATGGAGTCTCACTCAGTCACCCAGGCTGGAGTGTGGTGGCGTGATCTCAGCTCACTGCAGCCTCCACCTCCTGGGTTCAAGTGATTATCCTGCCTCAGTCTCCCAAGTAGCTGGGACTACAGGGGTGCACCAACACACCCAGTTAATTTTTGTATTTTTAGTAGAAACGGGGTTTCACCACATTGGCAGGCTGGTCTCGAACTCCTGACCTCAAGTAATCTGCCCGCCTCAGCCTCCCGAAGTGCTGGGATTACAGGCGTGAGCCACTGCTCCCAGCCTATAAACTTTAACTCTCTAACTCTACCACGGTGATGTTTGTTCTTGCTATCCTCGTCAACACTAATGAATTTCCCTTTCGTTGTTCTGTGGTGTAAAAATAATGCTCAAGTCGAGTTGGACACACACGAGGCTCTGACGCGACCATGGCTAGACAAACTTGTATTATCATTTGGCACCGCTGGCAAGGCTGCCAGGCCTGGCTTCCTGCTCACTGCCTGGTAAGAGCCAAGCTAGAATGATTGGCAAAAATCAAAGTCTTGGTCAGAAGAGTTCCAAAACCATTCTTTTTTAAGATTCAAAACACATTTACCAAGGAAAGTCAACTTCTAGCACTGACAAAGCCAAATTTCTCAGAAGGCAGACTCAAACACACAAAGAATATACAAAAATTGGATCAAAATATTGACCTTGGAATCCACATTGATAATTCCAGGCTTAATGCCAGTCAATTCTAATTGGCTAAAACAATGATACTATTGTTGTATAATCCTATCCTGCTGTAGGTTATAAAGAATAGTTGCCATATTATAGACAGGTGTTAAATATGCACTTTTGAGATGGAGTCAAGGGGAGGGAACATAGACCCCAACTCTTGATAGGAGAAATGCTAAGAAGTTTGGGGGCTATGTTTTAAATCCAAGGCCACCTTTAAAAAATGTTAGAAGTCATGTTTATTAAATTTGAGAGCATAATAGGGCCAAAAATAGGAAAATTACTGAACACTGAAGTATTGTTAAAACATTAAAAACTTGAAAATTAAATCAACCGACTCATATGTGAATCTCCATATTTTGTAACAGTGATCTCCACTATAGACATATATATATAGATATATAAACATGTAAAATATTTCACCCAAGTTAGGAGCCAACTCCTTACATTTGTTTTCTAAACTTAAAAATAAAAGTAGAGTAGCTCCTATATGACCCCAGGTGACTTGAACATGATTTACCCATATTCTTCCAACAGTTTCACGTCCTGTAACTTAACCCACTGAGTTTCAGGTACAGTATTTTAAGGTACATAACCAATAATGTAGAAATAACTTTAGCTTTTTATTATAGACTCTCAAAATAAAAGTGTCGTGCAGGCTCAGACACCCAAAGCCATGGCCTTTAAGAGGGCCTGACCCTCAGAAATCACACCACACATCTACAACCATCAGATCTTTGACAAACCTGACAAAATCAAGCAGTGGGAAAAGGATTCCCTATTTAATAAATGGCGCTAGGAAAACTGGCCAGCCATATGCAGAAAGCTAAAACTGGACCCCCTTCCTTACACCTCATACAAAAATTAACTCAAGATGAATTAAAAAATTAAATGTAAAACCCAAAACCATAAAAACCCTAGAAGAAAACCTAGGCAATGCCATTCAGGACATAGGCATGGGCAAAGATTTCATGACAAAAATGCTAAATGGAATTGCAGTAAAAACTAAAATTGACAAACGGGATCTAATTAAACAAAAGAGCTTCTGCACAGCAAAGGAAACTATCATCAGAGTGAAGAGGCAACCTACAGAATGGGAGAAAATTTTTGCAACCTACCCATCTGACACAGGTCTAATATCCAGAATCTACAAGGAACGTACACAAATTTACAAGTAAAAAACAAAAAAATCCATAAAAAAGTGAGCAAAGCATATAAACAGATACTTCTCAAAAGAAGACATGTATGTGGCCAACAAACATATGAAAAAAAGCTCAATCATTAGAGAAATGCAAATCAAAACCACAATGAGATACCATCTCACACCAGTCAGAATGGTGATCATTAAAAAATCAAGAAACAATAGACGCTGTTGAGGCTGCAGATAAATAAGAACACTTTTACATTGTTGGTGGGAATGTAAATTAGTTCAACCATTGTGGAAGACAGTGTGGTGATTCCTCAAGCATCTAGAACCAGAAATACCATTTCACCCAGCAATCCCATTACTGGGTATATACCCAAAAGAATATAAATCTTTCTACTATAAAGACACACGCACATGTATGTTTATTGCAGCACTATTTACAATAACAAAGACATGAAACCAACCCAAATGCCCATCAATGATAGACTGGATAAAGAAAATGTGATACATATACATCATGGAATACTATGCAGCCATAAAAAAGATCATGTCTTTTGCAAGGACATGGATGAAGCTGGAAGGCATCAGCCTCAGCAAACTAACACAGGAACAGAAAACCAAACACTGCATGTTCTCACTCATAAGTGGGAGTTGAACAATGAGAACACATGGACACAGAGAGGGGAACATCACACACTGGGGCCTGTTGGTGGGTAGGGGGCAGGGGGAGGGAGAGCATTAGGACAAATACCGAATGCATATAGGGCTTAAAACCTAGATGATGTGTTGATAGGTGCAGCAAACCACCATAACACATGTTTACCTGTGTAACAAACCTGCACATTCTGCACATGTATCCCAGAACTTAAAGTAAAAAAAAAAAAGAGAGAGTCTGACATACGGAGATTGCAGTTAGCTTTAATTTACATTTAATTTGCTATTGCATTTGAAACCATTCATTCCCATGCAATGCCCTTTTTCTGCACGGTCTTTATTTCTTTGATGTACAGCTCCATAAAGATGCCAGTGCAATTCTTCTCCTTTCTATCAGAGGTCCTTAAGTAATTTCAAAAGCCTGTTTCATTCCTGACTTTATAAATGCAGAAACAGAGGCAAAGAAGCCTTCAGTCAACAGCTCAAGGACACCTAGAGCCTTGGCAGCAGTGCTGTGCGGGGTGAGTGCCCTTGGCTCTTCAGGAGGCCCCTCTCCTAATTGCCCGGCACAGCCACCTAATTCACTTGGTGCTTTTAGAAAGCAATAGTTATTGCTGCCTGACTCGGGATAGACTGTATTATAATCCTATAATATGTGAAATTAATTTTCTCAGTGATTCAGTACCAGATTTTTCTCCAAGCTGGAGCTAATCCAGACAGTTAAAACTATTTTCTTGATTTTTGTTGTCCAAAAGAAGATAGCTTCATCTTACCTTCAAAAGTATTAGTAGGTCTACAGGAAAGGTCTAATGATTTCTGTTTTTTTTTTTTTTTTTTTTTTGAAGAAATACATTCTACAGCTTTATCTGCTCTGAAGAACCGAGTATAACTTCTAAATTGGTATGTATAAATTATTTCATAATCAGAAAATGTCTAGTTTTCTAGGACAGTGTCTAGCCAAAACAATGCAGTTATATATTATAAAAACTTGATAAAAATGTGCTTCTCACTCACTCTGGCATTCTATCCCAGAGTTGGATAATGTTTTGGGCCTCTGTGACCCATGTAAATAATTGAAATGGCAAGTGAACATACACTCATCCATATTTATTGTTTTTTCTTTTTTCTTTTTTCCAAACTAACCCTGCAGTGCAACAGGCTTTGTTGTCTTTGGAGCTGAAGTAAGCGATCTTTTCATTATATATTCAGGGACACAAAGAAGGCCGCAAGTCGCTTTTTAGGAAATGCGAGTACACTACTGGGTTCCTTTAGAGAAATTAAGAGCAAGGTGAACGATTGGTCAGCAGGGGTGATCGTGATCGGGGCTGTGGCAAGAACCCAGCAGGAGACAGTTGATTGCGCTCTCCAGCTCTCCGGTGCTCTCCAGGCCTCAGCACAATCTCCAGCGTTCCAGGCTTTGTCTTTCAGGAGCTGGACAGGGGTCCTCTATAGAAAAACAACATTCAGTCCTCCCAAGAGACAGCCTCTTCCCTTTTAGTTTCACGCTCCAAGCAGGCAGAGAGAACCATAAACTTTTCCTTCCACAAAAGTAATGAAACACGTGAGTGCGTATTTATCAGCTCCATTTTATTTTTGTGAAAACCTTGTCTTGTTACATTTCATAAAATTTAGAAGTGCAGGAAGTGTTGGACATTCTCTTGTTTATTCCCCGACTTTGATGTTCGGAAGTCAGAGATCAAGATGTGCTTGTCCGCAGGTGGCCAGTTGGCAGATGGCCCCGGGCCCTGGTCTGCTACCTCCTGGTTAAACTATCCTCCTACCTGGGGGCTTTGTTCAGCTCTGCTTCATTTAGTGAAACGCTGACGTTGTAAGCCTGCTGTGGAGTGTGTGTTTAGGCAAATAGGAGCTGTGCTGTCTGCAGCAGGCCCAATGCCATGTGGGTAAAGAAAGGGACCCGGTATTAGGGAGGGAACTCCTGAAGTCTTTGTGCTCCACCATCTTTTGAGTGATTTTTCAGGGAAAGGCTGGGAGTGGTGGGGAGGGACAAACGGGGGACTCTGCTGGTGACTTCATGCTGTGTGGCCTGGGCTCGGAGTCCTGTCCTGGCAGCTGCATTCTTTGTGGTGGAGTCTGCCTTAGGGCAGGGCCTAAGGCTTCCACCTCACCTTCACTGGGGAAGAGGACTGTGTAATCCAGCCCATTCTGAAATGATTACTATTTATGTATTTATTCATGTATTTTTTGAGACAGGATCTCACTCTGTCTTCCAGTCTGGAATGCAGTGATGCTCACAGTCGAACTCCTGGGCTCAAGCGATCCTCCCGCCTCAGTCTCCCGAGTAGCTGGGACTACAGGCCAGTGCCATCACACCGGGCTAATGTTTATTTATTTATTTTGTTGTAGAGACGGAGTCTCACGAGCCCAGGCTGGTCTTGAACTCCTGGCCTCAAGCGATCCTCCTGCCTTGGCCTCCCAAAGCACTGGGATTACAGGTGTGAACCACTGTGCCCAGCCTAAAATTATTTTGTTCTTATACTGTGCTTCTCTGCTGAAGTAATGTGCTAGTCATGGCAATTTACTCAACAGCTACTTAAAAAATGTCTCTGAATGATGATGGCAGTATCCCGTGGGACATCAGGAAGCTACTTACCTCCCTCTGCTGTGTTTTAATTTTACCAATAGCCATTCAGGACTTTTATAGAAATTCCCATCAACATCTCAAGAGGGTTTTCAGTCTTTCCTTGAATAGTAAAATGGCACAGTGTAACCTCAACCTGCACCAACAACTTACAGTATGTGGAGTCCAAATGAACGATGTTTTGTTGCCCTCTAAGCTGGGCCTGTCACTCGAGCACTGGTAGGACCAGTGGCTTTGTAAATCAGTCTTTTATTTATTATTATTATTATTATTATTATTATTATTTTTATGAGATGGAGTTTCGCTCTTTTTGCCCAAGCTGGAGTGCAGTGGCCCCATCTCAGTTCACTGCGACCTCCACCTCCCGGGTTCAAGCAATTCTCCTACCTCGAACTTCCGGGGAACTGGGATTACAGGCATGCTTCACCACACCCAGCTGATTTTTGTATTTTTAGTAGAGACAGGGTTTTGCCATGTTGACCAGGCTGGTCTCGAACTCCTGACCTTAGGTGATCTGCCCGCCTTGGCCTCCCAAAGTGCTGGGATTACAGGTGTGAGCCACCACGCCTGGCTGTAAATTAGTCTTTAATTTAAACATTTCCTCAGCTCACTCTCTGCACCTGATTTGGATAGAATAGGGTAGGAGTGTTTGAACTTTAAATATTATTTTAAAGAGGTGGATTTATTCAAAGCATGGAAAACGTTAGTTGTACCTTTCCTTCCTAAGGCGCTTTCTAAGGAATCCAGCTTACAATTTCTGTAGCTATACTTTATTTCCAGTCCCAATCAGTCATCAGGATATAGGAGTTTTATTGATCTGTGCAGTGTATTCTAGTTAAAAAAATTATGCCAAATCAAATAATTGAATAGATGCCCCAGTCAAAATTCTCTAAACATTACTGTTATGTATAGGCCATACTATATATACAAAGTAAATCATGAATCATTAAACACTAAACATTACTATTACGTATAGGCCATACTACATATACAAAGTAAATCATGAACCATTAAACAGAACCATGCAATGCTTTTCTTTGTGAACCAGTGATCAAAACCAAGCCCACGAGAACTAGAAAGTCTTAGGTCAAATCAGTGTTATTGGAGAAGAGATCAAGTTATTTGACCTTTTCTCGGAGACAATTTAAGTCTGACACATGATCTTTACCCCCTGGAGAAGCAAATTCGCAACTCACTGCACTAGATTCACCCTGCAATACAATCTCTGAAAATACACCTTCCACCTTCCAAACAAGTATCAGAAGATGAACTGCATTCCATTCAAATCATAAAAACTATTTTGTACCGGTCATCAGAAGCTAATTCTGTACTTATCGCACCTTGAGGGAGATCTGCTGCTGCATGAGATAGACACAAGGGGCAATTTATTCATGGAGAAGTGAGAGCAGCAGGATGGAAATGGGGGAAAGAACTTTATCCCGGCCACTTCTGGGAGAGGGCAGAACATCTCTGATGGAAACGGGTGTTCCTGATTCTAAGAAATAAATGCTCTGCTGTGTTGACATGAAGCTACTCTGTTCAAATTCAAGGGCAACAACATTTTATACAGCCTTACTCTCCCAAGAGATGGGTTAAAAAACACACATTGAGACATATTTTAGTATGGGGTGGAGCTCCATGTATGTCGACAACAGGCTAGTAATGCGAAAGATGTGTAATATATAATAAAGCTGCAGAGAATAAATCCAAACCATGAGATTCTATTCCTATTTCTTAAATACAGTCTGATTGTGAAATCATTCTCCTATACTCCTTTGTAATTTTTTGGAGTATTTTCAGGAATTGCTGATATTTTACTCACAACAAAAAAATACACAAAATGAATAACAAGTCATAAATAAATCGAAAACAGGGAGTTTATCTGTAATGATCTTTCCTAAGCCATGGATGGCAGAGCTAAAATCTTGCCACCTCCTACATTTGATGAATGATACTGTGATACTGCTGATTTTGGTCTTAATTTTTTATTTTTGTTTTTATTTATTTTTAAGACCGATTCTTGCTCTATTGCCTAGGCTGGAGTGCAGTGGCACAATCTCTACTCACTGCAACCTCCACCTGCCGGATTCAAGGGATTCTCCTGCCTCAGCCTCCCGAGTACAGGTGCCCACCCCACGCCCGGCTAATTTTTTGTATTTTTAGTACAGACGGGGTTTCACCGTGTTAGCCAGGATGGTATCAATCTCCTCACCTTGTGATCCACCCGCCTCGGCCTCCCAAAGTGCTGGGATTATAGGCGTGAGCCACAGCGCCCGGCTTTGGTCTTAATTTTTTTTAAAAAGGGTCCTACGTTATCACTGTAGCCTAAAACTAGAAATGAAAAACAAAACAAAACAAAAAAAAACAGACTATTGAGGGTTTCTTTCATAAGGAATTTCACCCATTCTACTTTTGGAAAAATGAATGTTTGGAAAATATGCAATTAGGTATCATCTTGGATCATAAAGAAATTTGAAAGGAAATTTTTAGAAGTTTTGATTTTCTCAGTTTTTGCAACAGATACTAAGCATCTAATCATCCCTTGTGTGAAGAAAAGAAGAAGCTTCTTTTGACAATGATGTGTCTCATTCTCAGGCTCTGTTTCTCTAACACGGGATGCTGCAGAAGCAGCCACATCTCCACCTTCCCACGACGCGGTTTTGTGTTTGGAGAGTACAGCAGCAGTTTAGGCAGCAACTAAGAACCAAGGAAACGTATTCGTAAATGCTCTTTGCCACAACTTCATCTCCCTTTTCTCCCCGTCACCTCAAAAAACCCCCACACAGCCAACGATAGACACAATGCTCCTAGAAAAGGAAAAAGAAAAGGAGGAGGAGAAGACAATACCAAAACGTGCATTTTACTGTGTTGATGCTATTCAGGATGCAAATAGAAACAGCCAAAGTCCCAGCGCCTCAGCTGAGGGAAGACAGAAGCTGAACCAGGCGTGCGCTGTGGCTGTCCCCGTGCAGGCGGAGGTGTGTGATCTCGAGAGGAATGTTTATTATTACTTCTCTTCCCCCTAGAGAGGTAGCTTCATTTCCTTAATGCAGAGTAGAGCTGGTGGGGAAGTGTGAGGTATTCAGCCCCTCCCTGGGCACCAGGCTCCTGTCCTGACCTGCATCCATTGTCAGGGATGTCCTCAATGCACACAGGAATCATCTCCTCCCAGACACAGCTGGTGGGAACCTAAGGCCATCTGGAATTCTGCAGAATGTTTCCATGATAATGGTTGGAACTTCTAGTGCATCCTTTTGTGCCACATTTTATTTTTGTGGCCTTGAAGCCACAAAGCCTTCACAGATGGCACTTTGCCTGGTTGCATCTGGTCTCCATTTTTTAAAAAGTAGCCTTCAATTTAATCATTGCAGTTTTTATTTTCACGCAACGCTAGATTTATGCTTTCCTTAATAATGTTCTACTGCACAGTTAAACTACTCCTGAGAGGACATCTTTGGCATCTGTAGCTAAGCAAATATTTTCTCTGGAGACAGAATTTTTAAAAATGAAATCACACAATGGCCTTTTTTGTAGTATTTTCATTATTTTGGTCATTAAACTAAACATTAGCTTCTAAATGTTTAAAAATAATTGTAGTTACTTAAAATTATTCCCAGGAGGGGATTTTCTCAGTTCTCTCCTTCTACCTCACAAAAAGGATCTGCGAACACCCCTGATGCCGTACAAGGATCACGAACCAGGAACCAAGAAGAGACAAACAGCCTGTCTTCTTCCTTGCAGCTTCTCCACCCACCCCTGACTAGTGAGTTTCCATCCTGCACGCCTGTGCATACGTGTGCTAGTGGCCTGTCACTGAGAATTCTTCAGAACCAAAGATGACTTCAACCCCCAGGGCCATCAAGCATCAGCTATTATTTTGCTTCTGCTGGGGCACACAAATCAAGTTAGTTTCTACTCTTCAAGTGCACTTTCTTGCTTTGGAAGAGTTTTCTGATTTCAGCTCCTGCTGCAGGCTTAAATGGAACCTTACTGTGACCACGGCAGGAGGGACTTCTGCCTTCTCACAGCTTTCTGATTGAGCTAAAATTTTGAGGACATTTCTAAGAATTGCCACAGCTTAATTCAACACTCTAATTTTTGTTTATGATGCAAATAAGAATGGCCATGGCTCTTCCTTATACATTTGAATCGATGATTACAAATAGCATGTGTTGAACACGTTTCATGAAAGATTAACAGTTATTTCACTTCACCCCTGCAGCAGCACCAAGGAGTAGAGAGTGTTACTGTCTCTGCTAGGAACAGAAATGCAAAGTTTAAGGGGCTTGGCAAGAAGGCCACATACCTAAGACACCCATTCAGATTCACCCAAGGCTCATTTCCCTTCCAGGGCAGAGCTCCGGCACCTGTGCTGTGGGGAACCCACCACACTACAGAGCTTTAAAACCCTCACTTTGTGGGTGTCACATCCTGCAGAGAAGCCTAGTCACTCTACAGGAGATGTCACAGGGGATCAGATAAATCTCAGGGGAAAGGGCTAGAGCTACTCTTTCGCCAGGATTTGCACCTCTGAGGCTACTGGTGAATCTTTCTTTAAGTCGGTAAAATTTGTTTTTTAATCCAAAAATTCTCTGCGGATCCTAGTTGGTTTTCATGTTGGATAAATTTTGGCAAGACTCCAAAGGAGACCCCAGAGGCCGAGCGGGGGTATGCTGTGGTGGGAAGAGAGTGCCCTTGGTGGATTAGCATTGCCCCTTTCAGACCCTTACCTGGTGTTAGTTTTCTATGGCTTTGAACTCTCATTATTCTCACCTCTCAAATGGGTATAATGATATCTACCTCATGAGATTACTGACATAGAAGAAAGAACATATGCAGAGTGGCCAGCAATTCCCAGCACAGAGTAGGTGCGTAGGGCGGGCTCCCAGGAAGCAGGTTCTGGGAAGCAGATATCCTGGTGGGTACCCTCAAGAGTAACTTACCTAAGGGAGGGAGGGGCCCGATGGGCAGGGCGGATGCCTAGCTGTGGTGCAGCTGCAAGTGAGACCTGTGCTGGTCATTCGGGTGCTCTGGAGCTGGGAGCCCGTACACATTTGAGGCAAGGTGCCTAGGCCTTGAGACCTCGCTGGGAACAGCCATGAGATTTGGTGCACCCCAGGGAGGGGCATATACCTTGGAAAAGATGACTCCTTGGGGTGAGAGCAATTCCTGGGGAGAGATTCAGCTGGCGGCCTCCAGCAGCTCACCTTCCTGGAAGATAGAAGTGTCTCCAGCCAGAGAGCCATCTGGCAGTATAGACATCACTGCTTCCTGTAAGTACTACGCAGACAGTAAGTAATATTCTTATTATTGTTCATTATTCAATAATAATTTATTCCATCAGAAACCTGGCCGGCAGGCATTCTCATAGCCAGAGTCAACCTCAACTCACCATGGCACAGGAAAAATAATCATCGCACTGCAGAACAAGAAATGACCTAAGCCAGCATTGTCATCTTTGAAACTTAAGAGAATTTGTAAAACGGTGAAATTCAGAATGAACTTAGAAGGCATTTTCAGCTGCACATCTGCTAGTCTGGTGTGTGGCATCACTAAGTCTATTGGTTTAAATGGGTGCGTAGTTCCGGAGTATCACAACTACAACATCGGATTTGGAAGCAATTTTGGAAATATTTGATGATGCATATTTGAAAGAGTTAATATTTGTACGAAAATGTCACAAATTTAGTATTTTTATGACATTTTGTAAAACAGTGAGACTTCAGACATATTTTTAAAAATCTGTTTTGGATTAATATCTGATCAATACTGAGAAGATAAAAATGAACGAGATAATTAAGTAAAATACAGTATAATAAAGATTTTGGAGAAGTGTTAAATTCTGCAAGTGTGTGTTATTAATTATATTATTTTTATCATATGTATATATGTACCTAAGACCTTGTACAGTAGGATTCTGAAACTCTTCTATGGGGAGAGGATGTCAAACTAACGTATTTTCCTGAATGATTTCAAGCCTTACAGGAAACATTCCAGACAGGACTAAGGTAAGCAGATACAGGTGGTCCTCACCAAGCCCCGATGGCTCATAGAAAAAGTCTTGTTCTATAAAAACCCAAGAATAGTTGTTCTTTTTTTCTGACCTAGCTGGTACAAGTGAGTTAGAACGTCCTGAACTTTTGAAGGTGTGCATGAGGACATACAAATCTCGCTGACGGTGGCCAGTGCACTGTGATCTGCCTGACCGAGGTATGAAGCCCATGGGTTTGAAATGGGTTTCATTCCATTTACCACGTAAAGCACTGGTGTTAAGGGTGGAGGTGGGAAGTAACAAAGGTATGTGCACAAATAACCAGACTCTGAATGTGCAGCATTTGGCAGCCTACTGAGGAAGTAATTAAAAAAAAAAGTGGAAATCAAATAAGCTCCACAGCTCTCTGCAGAACCTTTGACCAAACAGGCGTTTGGTCATGGCTGTAGTGGTCTGTATTTCTTGCTGCACATACGTAAGTGCTGTGCTGAGAGTTCTGGGCCTCGTGAGAGCCCTACCCTCTCCCACCTGGATCAGCTGGCCCACCTCAGCTCATCAGGTTACAGGTGGCAGCTGGGTGACTAAGTGGTTTCAAGCCAAGGCTTCTTTTTAGATGACTCAAGAACTCTGTTTTATGTACAGTACCACTGTCGTTTTTTTTTTTTTTCTTTTTGAGACAGGATCTCACTCTGTCACACAGGCTGGACTGCAGTGGTGCAATCTCAGCTCACTACAACCTTTACACAACCCCAGGCTAAAGTGATCCTCCCCGCTCAGCCTCCCAAGTAGCTGGAACCACAGGCACACATCACCATACCTAGTTATTTTTATGTATTTTTGGTAGAGACAGGGTCTTGCCATGTTACTCGGACTGGTCTCATTCTCCTGAGCTCAAACAATCTGCCTGCCTCGGCCTCCCAAAGTGCTGGGATTACCGCCATGCCCCACCTTGCCTGCCCACACTGTTGTTTATCTACTTGAAAACACGTTGGTTTTGACATATAGATGGGACTGGATTTTTTCTCCTTGCTTTAATTTAGACCTGAGCGACTTAGATGCTTACTACGGTCTTAAACTGAACTATAAAATGGCAAATTTACACAATTTGCTTGTTCTTTCTCTGATTTTTTTCTTACCGTTTTTGAGAGGTTAAATTGTAAAAATAGTATTCTTCCTTCTGATTTTTTGTTTACTGATTTCCTGATCAATAACTGTCTCCTTGTTTTTCACAATAATCTTCAGATTCTGGAAAACCAAGCTGCTGACAACTAGGGGTGCAAGAGCATAAGCGATGTAAAGAAATAAAGAATAAAGTCAACTAAATTATGGCATCTCTCATTCAAGAGCCTCATGTGATGGGAAGTATGTGTTTCTTTCAAAGCCTCTGTTGCTTCTGAAGCCCCATGAGACGATCTTGTTGATTCATAATCTTTAATCCAGTCTTTAAGCTCTGACAGATAAAGGACCAGGTACCATTTCATGTTCCTAAAGGGTAGGAGCGAGACCATGAAGGCCTGGGTTCCACAGAGAATATGATAATTGCATGGGGAAGTATGAAAGTGATGGCATGCTTCTTAACTTTCAAAGAAGGGCATCTTCTAAGTTGATTTCCCTCAAGGTCTTAAGAAGGGCTGGAGGAAGGTATCAATTGTTTTGCAATAACAAGATTTCATGACCAAGCATGTTGATGAAATTTAGCACCCATATCTGATTAAAAACTCTTTTTAAAACTAACAGTCAAATGTTAATGGAAAAACACTAGATAAACAGTAAATTAAGGAACAAAGGTCATTATGATTAACGTTTCAAGTTATTTTATCCTTAGCCAAAGCAATAAAAAGCAATGTAAGTAAATAAAATGACTGGAAGAGAGTAAAAAATCACTGTAATCTGCGGATGACGGAATTGCCCTTTTAGTCAAGGCAGATTTACATGGAGTTAATAAATATTAAGATTTCAGGTCACACTTTTGCATAGACCTCTGTATAATATTTGCAAAACTAGTGTATTTGTATTAAAATTGACGAAGACCATGCTTTTCACCATGTATTCCTCCTTTATATTTCCTTTGTGTTTACTGGCATTGAAGTGGCCACAAGCATGTTGAGGATCTGGGTAACTACAAGCCAAGTTAGGGCACCTGTGTTGGGACAGATTATGTAGCACTCATTCCTTCAGGGCACCCCCAAGTAGGAATGGCTTTTGCAATATACTTTCTTCTCACTGTGCCATTGGACTTGACCTTGAACACAGTGTAGGAACAGGGGTCAAATTGTTATAGATGTGTGGCCCATGTTGCTCAGCATCAGGAACTTGTAAGTAGAGTAGGAACTAATTTGCCATAAACAGAATCAGAAGCTAGTCTGTAGGAAAGTATCCCCCAAGCTATGCAGATCATGTGAATGAAATGTGGCCTTTTCCAAATTTGATCACCATCCTAATAATTTACATGGCATCCCCAACAGCAAGTTATGAAAAAAAGGAATTTTCCAACTATCAATAATAATAAACAACTTTTGATCAACTGTGCTAGAGGTAAGACTAAATTATCTATGTTGTTTTATTATTTTTTTTAGAGATAGATTCTGTCTCTGTCACCCAGACTGGAGTGCAGTGGTGCCATCATAGCTGACTGCAGCCTCTAACCACTGGACTCAAGCGACCTCCCTGCCTTAGTCTCCAGAGTAGCTAGGACTATCGGTGCGTGCAACCATGCCCAGCTAATTTTTTTTTTTTTTTGTAAAGATAGGGTCTCACTGTGTTGCCTAGGCTGGTCTCGAACTCCTGGCTTCAAGCGATCCTCCATCCTTGGCCTCCCAAAGTGTTGGGATTACAGACATGAGCCACTGTGCCTGGCCTCTATATTCTGTATAGAAAAATATTCATTATTCATCAACATGTGAAGAGGTGATCAAACAGCATTTGGCTAAAAAGGTATGAAAAGGAGAATTGGAAACAGGTGTCAAGTAATTCATGAATAAGATCTTATGTTGCCCTTCTGGAGTGTATGCATTTTCTAGTATTGGTTAATTTAAAAAAATAAATTTGGTGTTGTGATTTCTTTACTTATTTTAAATATTCTTTTAATACTTGATTTTGTATTCATATTTTTAATTTTTTTCAGGTGATTAGGTATCTTCAGATAAATATTTGGTCTTTCATTTTAGACCCTCTCATGCCCGGCCCACCCACACACAAATACATTCTCTTTCTCATTCTGGTATGTTGGTATGGGAATAGGCCAAGCAGTAATGTGGCCCAGCCAAGGACCAGGGAGCTTTGGAGGTGGAACTGCACCGTGGGGCCTCCCAGGGAATGCCTTTCACTCTCTCATGTCCTTAGATATCACCATACTTCCTTGGATGGACACATTCAAGATCAGTGTTACCTGCCAATTCTTGGATCATTCCAAAATTTGGCGTTGAATCAACTCCCTTTCCTCTTGAATGTCCCACAATGCCCTGCGATAAGGAGGGGAGAGCTTTCTTCCTTCCTCTCCCTGTTTGGAAGGACCCCCACCAGTGTGGAGTAACTCTGTTTCCAGACTTGCTCTTCAACATGTTAAAGGAAGGGCTTTGCCATGTGAACATTCTTCTTTCCTCAAATCCTGCTTCTAAGAATTGTCTTGTTATTAACAAGAAAACTCGATTTGACACTTAAAACATAATTCCCATGTTCAGCTACATGTTCATTATTTGTTCAGTGGAAAATAAGCTCCAAGAAGTGAGAACCTTTTCCTTTTCTTCACTGTCTCCACAGTGCCCAGACAATGCTAGGCATGTAACGGTTGCTCAGTAAATACTTCTCTGATGAAAAAGTGGCTTCTGTCATGGAGAACTTGCCCATCAATAGGTATTCCAGTTTCCACCCAATCCAGGACTCCTCCCTGGAGCATTCTGATAGATGCTTACCCAGTTTATGCTGGAACCCCTCCTGTAATGGGAAAAATTCACCACCTCCAGAGATGAAGTGCTTTATCTTGCTTTAGCTATGGATTAATTTGACTATTACAAAGTGTTTCCTTCTATCAACATTAAAATCTCACTGCTTAGTATGCACAACCCTCTCTTCTCCCTCCACCATGACAAAAATAAACTTTATGTTTTCTCTACAAGAGACAGCATGAAATACCTGAGCGTAGTGCCTTTACCACCCTCTCTCCTTCGCCCCAGCCAAATTCTTTAGTGGATGAAACGTCACTAGATTCTTCACCATTCTCCATGTCATTACATCTCCATATCTTTTGGTACTCTAATGCTTGCCTACATATATTCTCTTTCCTATCAAAACCTCTTGTAAAATGGTACAACCTGAGCAGAGTATTTTAGGGCTGCACACTTTTTTGTCTGCACACGGTGCTTTTATCGATGAAATTTAAGACTGCGAACCCTCATTTCACTGCTGAGCTTGCTGCCCAGCAAGGGCCTTGAGTCTTTTTTTTTTTGACAGAGTCTCTCTCTGTAGCCAGTCTGAATGGCAGTGGCGCAATCTCAGCTCACTGCAACCTTCGCCTCCTGGGTTCAAGTGATTCTCCTGCCTCAGCATCCAAAGTAGCTGGGACTACAGGCGTGTGCCACCACGCCTGGCTAATTTTTTGTATTTTTAGTAGAGACAGGGTTTCACCATATTGGCCAGGCTGGTCTCAAACTCCTGACCTCATGATCTGCCCGCCTCAGCCTCCTAAAGTGCTAGCATTACAGGCGTGAGCCACTGCACCCGGCCATCTTTTGTCTTTTTTATATGGTTGAGCCAGTGTGTGGTTTGCTTTTTCCTAGGATCAGTGAATCTACATTTTTCTGTTACATTTCATTTTGTTAATTCCTAAACGTTCACAGCTTTTGCATCTTGATTTTATCTGATGACATCTGTGCCTTTGCTCCCCTTTCCCAGGTGTTTACGGGACACCATAATCCGTCTCGCCATTCTTTCCCAAGGGGCTTTATTCGTTCTATCTCCATGCTCTTCTCAACATCACCTGCCACTGTTGGCTCGTGGACTTTTTCATTCATTCAGCACATTTTTGTTAAGTGCCTGTTATGTGCCAGGAACTCTTCCACTTTATTGCCAGCAATTAAAATTAAGTTTTCCTACTCCCTAGGTTTTAGACTTGCATTGATCCACAAATCAATCCTCTTTTGGTATATATCCAAACTAGGTTTGAGTCTTCCTCCATGAAGTACAATTCTGCCTGAGTTTCTTCCTCTTTGCTCAAATTCCAGTGTACAGTGTTGAGCAGAGCTGCTCAGGGAAGTGGTCTCCAGGCTGCTGGCTATCTGCAGACCATGTGCCATTGGTCTCTTACATGTTAAACACAGACATGGAGGCTGACCTCTCAAAAAGTTTTAGAGCAATCTGACAGAGTAATTTTATGTCGGTGAATTTTATGACTGGTAATAAAAAGACTGGCTTCTATTTTGTATGCTTTTTATCATTTCTTTTTCTAGTAGTTCATTTTAATTGTTTTAGACAAAATTATCAGATCTGAAATTTGTCAACAAATAAGCACACAAACAAAACCTGAACTGGTCCTTGGCCACATACTTTGCAAATAACTGGTCCAGAGGATACCTCTGTCCCAGTAATCAAGACACCAAGTTTCTTTGTGTTTTTGTTTGTTTTTTTGTTTTGCTTTGTTTTTTTGAGATGGAGTCTTGCTCTGTCACCCAGGCTGGAGTGCAGTGGCACGATCTCGGCTCACTGCAACCTCTGCCTCCCAGGTTCAAGTGGTTTTCCTGCCTCAGCCTCCCAAGTAGCTGGGATGACAGGTGTGTGCCACCATGTCCGGCTAATTTTTGTATTTTTAGTAGAGATGGGGCTTCATCATTTTGGCCAGGCTGGTCTTGAACTCCTAACCTGCCTTGGCCTCTAAAGTGCTGGGATTACAGGTGTGAACCACCGTGTCCAGCCAAGACATCATGTTTTAAACAGTCTTGAATCATTGGAGTTTGTCATTTTATGTTAATTGTGACTCAAACACAGGATGTCAGAGTGACCTGTGGGTCATTTTGTGTCCTTAGGAAGAGTGATTCACGGCCGGGGTCTGGGCATCTCTGTTTTTCTAGCGCTTTGATTGTTTTGCCCCTTCTCCAGTGCCCAGCATACCACCTAACACACGGCAGGTGTTCCTTAAGTATTTTGGATAAGAGAATGACTGTATAAAGTCAAGTTTAAACTACATCCAGTGTGTGTGTGGTGGGGTGGGGGGGAACACGTGTGTACAAAGAAGGTTGATATGGCTTCGGACTAAGAAAACATTTGCTTTCTGGTCAACTTCCTTCCTTTACATTTTGATGTAACACATTTCTGTCCTACAAAGAAAAAATGGCGCTTGAACATGGAACAAAAGTATCTTTTGTAGCATAGGATTCATTCTTAGAATAATTTTACTGCTTCACTGATCCCTGTTTCTGTCTCTGCACTCTTGTTTCTCAACAACAGCAAATACAACAACAGATACTAATGACCATTCTTCACAAACTAATTTATATCTCAATTTTTAATATATATGTTACATGTGGTGAATCGTGGCCATGCATATTAACATGGAAAGCTCTGACTCCTTACATGCACACATGTTAAGCACTGACTGTCCATATGCATATGTGCGAAGTGCTGAATAATTGGTGCATTCCTACTTGAGCTCTCTGCAGAGGCTGATTGGAAATATCATTCTCCTGGGATGTGTCTCCCTCGTCTACCTTGTCATTGGGGTAACGACGCCATGCCTAGGATGGAGCACCTTTCCTCCACCTCTCTCCTGGAGACTGCAGCGGTGTATGTTTTGCACATATTACAATGAATAAATTAAGTGTAAAAATAACACTTCAAGAATGTTTACCACTGCTTTAAGTTAATGGATTTCAACAAAGTTATCACGGCATTTATCATTTCTTTTATCTTGGTGATGGAAGTCTATCAGAAGCTATCTTTACAAATAAAACACAGGAGAGATTTGTGATGATATTTTGAATAATGTATTAAAAAACACGTTCACTCAGAAACTGAATGCATGCAATCACACAATAGGAGTTTTACCCTACATTCTGGATATAAATACTTAAGCTTTCACTTCAGTTGTTTGGACAACACAATAGAAGCATAAACTAGCGGGGAAGAACAGCTAGTCGACTGAGCAGCTAAGACCTACATGTTATATTTGTTTACTTTAAATGAGTCTTTCAGTCTTTATGAAAGTGAAACCACCTTTGCAAAATAACTGAGGAAATTATGACAGTCCAAGGAATCAGACCTAACCGACCCTATCTTGCTTCTAACCCTTAAGCTGTCCTTGTTCATTCCTCGGCGTAGGCCGAACTAACTTTGGGAAGGAATTCAGTTCATGGTTTGACTCTGAAACATAATTGATAACAGCCCTTTCCAGAAAAGAACCCCTTCTTGCCTGGGGACCAGTCTGCCTCTGCAGGACTAACAAATTAGCTACAAGGTTAGAAATTACAATATAGGGGTCATGCAGCCTCTGGCTCCAAGACTCTGAACCTCCTCGAATTGCTCCTGGGGATAACATCACTATTGTAAAACCTATAATCAGTGCTTGAGATATGTTGCAGATCCTGCACCTCCATGGATCAGCTGACACCACCCAGAACAGTCATCTGGCCCAACCAGTTCTGCCACCCCACCCAGGAACAGAAGACAGCAAGAAAACCTCACTATGACCCTCTATGATTCCATCTCCAACCTGAGCAATCAGCACTCCCCACTTCCCAAGCCCCTACTCACCAAATTATCTTTAAAAATTCTGATCCCCGAATGCTCAGGGAGACTGATTTGAGTAATAGTAAAACTCCGGCCTCCCACAAGGCGGGCTCTGCGTGAATCACTCTTTTGCCATTGCCATTCCCCTGTGTGGATAAATCGACTCTGTCTAGGCAATGGGCAGGGTGAACCCATTGGGCAGTTACAAAAGCAACCGAGGATTCCCAGCAAAAGATAATGTGGAGAGTATTCCCTCCCACCCAGGGTACCCTGTTCTCTTCATCCTGTGTGCCCTTGTTCCATCACTGAAATCCAGACCTTTGGTCTTAAAAATAAAAGCCAGAAATTAGCTACCAAATGTTGGCAGTTTTATAAGCTACAAGAAAGCAATAGGCTGCTCTTAAGTTTGCATTTTGTGTCAGATATTGGCTAGGGTTAAAGGTTCAAGTAAATTTTATGCCTTCCACTATTTTGTTAGGGTGAGGAGACAATATTTCTAGCACTTTTCCAATGATCAACTAAATATGACATATTTATGCATGAAATTTCTTGCCTCTGGATTTAATGAATATGACTTTTAATCCTAAGGATGGTTTTATCATCATCTAGCCAAGATTTCACGTTTTCGCTGCTTCTGTCCGAGTGGTCAAGGAAAAGATAAATGGTAAATTGAAGGTTTAAAATAATGATTTTGTCAGTAAATCAGTAAATACTCCATATTTGATGGTGGCTATGACTTTGAAAAATTTTAAAGTTTGTGTTGAAAAAATGTGGCTCTTCTTCGTCTTGCACTTTTTTCTTCTGGGTAACAGTAAGATAACATTTTTTTTTTTGAAACAGAGTATAGCTCTGTCTCCAGGCTGGAGTGCAGTGGCATTGATCTGTACTCACTGCAACCTCTGACTCCTTGGACAAGTGATTCTCCTGCCTCAGCCTCCTGAATAGCTGGGATTACAAGCACGCACCACCACCCCCAGCTAATTTTTGTATTTTTAGTAGAGACATGGTTTCACCATGTTGGCCAGGATGGTCTCGATCTCCTGACCTCGTGATCTGCCTGCCTCGGCCTCCCAAAGTTCTGGGATTACAGGCGTGAGCCACCGCGCCCGGCCAACATTATTAGTTTTTAATCACAGCAATTTTTGTTAGTAACAAATTTAAACATACATAGTCCTTTTGCTCTCTAGCATCTACAATACTCTTGGTTCAGGATTTAAGAGGTGTTACACCCAGATGTGACTGTCCTACGTGTGTGCTCAAGGCTACATTAAGAATTTTTTTCTCTTTCCTGCCACATCTTTTCTTCACCCTGTGTTTGCCTGTGCACCTGCCTCTTCTGGAAGCAGCTATGAGGACAGGGTTTCCCCATCACCCGTGCTCACAACCCCACACAGTGCCTCCCATAGAGTGGGCTTAGTCCATTTTCACTTGCAAAAGAAAACACACTGGCTCCTCTGTGTAATTCTGAATTTTAGAGGAGATCTTAATTCAGTAAATTACTATTACGTTTTGAACTTGAATAATGAATGTAAGAAAAACTGCAGTGCATGAGACAGGAAAGCTACTCCCTCTCCACTGATAAATACTTATCACTTGGAAATAAAATTTTTAAGCAATCAGAAGGAGACTTCATGTAGAAAATGGGCCTGGCACTGTTGTCCTGCAATGGAAACGGAGGCTTTGTCTCCAGGGTTCCAGGAAATGTTTCGAGTTAACTCTAACAAGGCCATATTCTAAGCATAAAAATTTAATGACGATACATAATTTTAACAAGTCTGAAGTCACTGATTAAAGAAAATTAAAATGGTGTGTATGGTAGGTGCCTTAACTCTCCTTAGAATATAGAAGATTATTGATACTGCAATGAAAAAAATGGCTATCCTGTTTTTAACCTTATTTTTTAAAAGAAAAACTGAACAACATGTTTGACATTTGCCACCACTTTTGGGTTTAGTTTTACAAGGTTATTAATCACAGCACACTTTGATACTGGGGGAAAGAGGATTGGAGTTGAAGTAGAAAAGCTAAGGCCAAGCCATTCCAAAATAATGAGACTTCTCTTTCAAATATGATTTTAATTATAAAGCTATCTCTGACTTTCTGCAGTATCAAAACTTGGTTTTCTTGGAACTCAGATTATACTAAGAAAAAGGCACAGAGTCAATCAAAGATACACAAACCCACTTCCTCTGAAGATGTAATCACACAGTCCGCACCTCACTGTGGGCCTGCCAGCCCCATGCCCAGGGCCCTGGCTTCTCGATGACCAAGCTTTGTAAGAGCCCCAGAGTTTCCCATTGGTGCACACTGCCCAAGGTAGAATGAAAGGGAAAATTCCAAAGAGGCCAGAGAAGTATTTTCTTTTTCATTGAGAAGAAGAAAGTCATCTTAAAGTTGCATTTACTTTTTCCTTCATGAAAAGCAAACACAGAACAAAACAGAAACAGAATCAAAATCAAACCAAAAAACCCGGGGAGAGAACTTGACGTCCTGGGGCAAAACCTGAAGCATCTCAGTCATTCCTCCAGCAAAAGAAGAAAAGTCAGAAAGAATCCCTGAAAACAAATCCTAATACAGCCATGTGCGTGGTTGGCCTCTGCCCACAGGGCTGCAGCCTGGCTTGGGGATAAGCCTTTTGATGTATGTGGCTTTCTTAAAAACAAGGAAATCCTGTTCTGCTAAAAAATGTCCAGTTGCTGTGGTTCTAAGAAATTAAGTAGCCTTGACTAAGTCAATTCTATATTATTTTAGTTAAAAGAGAAAAAAGAAAAACTTCAATCACAATGGAAGCATTTAATCTCATTGATTATTTAATCAAAATATATTTAAGTCATACGGAGGACCAGTTAGCTAGCTAGAAAGATGAGCAGTAATCTTATGGGTTGAGGAAAACAAAAACAGAAGAGGAATAATTTGGGTTTCCTCATCCTAGTCAAGTTTTCTTTTCCTTTGAAAATGCTGTATTAGCATTTAAGGGAGTCCGGTCTTGGTTCTCCCATTTTATGCTAAAGTTAATTAAATTTTGTCTTTGTATCTAATTATAAATGTCACAAATAACTTTTTAGTAGCTAAAAGTAGTTCCACTGCAAATCCCTATATTTTCTGTTAATAGTGATATTAACTAAATAATAGAGATGTTTATCAGGATAGTAGCTATGTGTTTAGGCAAAGCTGTTACCCAAATAAGTTACAAGCGTCTTGATGTAGGTTTTGCTCATGAGCATGTTTTTCACTCAGATAAAGCAAGTTACTTTAAAAGGTGAGCCCATTTTGCTAAAATGACTCCCAGAAATCCATTCAAACAATATCATATTTCTGAATGTGAAACCCTTTTATTGTTATTATTTTAATTTTAACCCTTTTATTATTATTACTTAATTATAATTTGAAGTAAGCAGTCTTGCTTACTGACGTATGTGTCTGAGTAACTTTTCAGTTGTGTTTATCTAATAACCTTTATGGGAAAGGAATCTTTTTGCCTAAAATTGTAGTTAGCCAGAGAAATGTTTAAAGGACAACCAAAATTTACATATATTATAAATATTATATATATTGTAATAATATTTACACATGTAATATTTGTATATATAATAGTATTTACATATACACTATTTGTGAAAGAAAAATATCTTGGGCCCCCAAATTATCCCTCATTAAGCTAAAAGGATAATTCAAGCTGGGAATTGCTTAGGGCAAAGGTGCTTTCCCTTCTATTCTCTCAGCTCATTGAGATAAATGCATATCTGATTGCCTCCTTTGAAAAGGCTAATCAAACACTCAAAAGAATAAAACCATTTGTCCCTCACCTACCTGTGACCTGAAAGCCCCCTCCTCACTTCCAGTAGTCCCACCTGTCTGGACTGAACCAATGTTCATTTTACATATGTTGATTAATGTCTCATTTCTTCCTAAAATGTATAAAAGCAAGCTGTGCTCTGACCACCCCTTGAGCACATGTCATCAGGGCCTCCTGAGGCTGTATCATGGGTGCGCATCGTCATCCTTGGCAAAATAAACCTTCTAAATTAACTGAGACATGTCTCAAATTTTTGGGGTTCACAGGTTTATACATATATTATATACTATATACACTATATTATATATTAGATACACTCTATTAGCTCTTTGGGCAGAGCTAAGATAGAAGAAGAGAAGGAGTTTTGGAAGCAGAGGGGTAGGAAATAATGGAAGTGATCTAAGAATAGCTAACATGGGAAGTTCAGAGAAATGAAGAAAACTAGTATGAAGATAAGACCATGGTAAGTTTCAGCTGAAGAGAAGTCGGATTTGGGATTGGTGATACGGTGGTATAGTTTGTTGTTTTGTTTTGTTTTGTTTTTTTTAAGATATTAACTAGGAACGGTTTTCCCTGTCTCCTCTCCTTCCTTCCCCCATTCTCAATCTGCCAGCCGCCCCTCTGTGGGGGTCGCAGGGATGGTGGGAAACACAGCAAGCCCAAAGAAAAGCCTTTGAATCCCTCATAGGCTTTGAGTCCTCAAGGCCTGAATCCACCAAGCTGATTGTTCCAGAAGTGCCAGCAGGAAATGCCTGGGATCCCCTCAGAGAGACCAGAAGAAGGAAGGAGGAGCGTGGTCAGGAAGAGGCCCTGTGGGCTGGGAAGAGGGGCGGTCTTCCTCAGACGGGTTCTCCGTCAGCAGACCACCCAGCCGCAGCTGTTTCCCTGCAAGCATCATCTGTGATTCCAGTGAGTTCTCACCAGGGAGGTGTTTTTGCCTGGGTTCTAGCGTCCCAGGGAAAGGTTTTGCAAGGCAAGATAACTAGGTCATCGTTCCTGCCGCATAATCCAATCAGATAGTCTTTTCTGACCCACCAAAGTGGAACTCCTATAAAAAATAATAATTATTGAGAAACAATTTTGACTTATCTAAAGCATATTAGGAGATGTTTTATTTTTCTCTCACTTTTCATACTCCATTTTTCTTCTTTTCTTCCAAGCCTCATATCTTTTCTTGGAGGAAAACCACAAAGGGTTCCCTGACGGAACACTTCAGGGCCTTTTCATCTCAGGCCTCTTTACAATCTTTCAGGGAAGAATAGCTTATAATTTATCAGAAGGAAGGGAGGTCAGCCTTCCTGAGGGGGTGTCAGGCTGCTGGAAATGTCAGAAGTTCGGTCCCCCACCCCCTGAGTCACAGAGCAAGAGGCAGCCGCACGGGGCCACTTGGTGTGTGCAGCTGCTGCAAGGCTGCAGCCTGGAGGCATGTGGAGATGCTCCTGCAGTAACAGAGCACGCTAGGGGATACTTCAACTTCTTGCATCTTGCAGCTTGACTTACATTTAATTCGATAACCACTGAAAGGTTCTCTGCAGTTTATCAGCCTGGTCCCTGAATTAGATCCCTGAGGCAAGCTCTACTCATTCTCACTACTCTCTCTCTACCCCGGAACACTTGTCTCTCCCTCATGTATCTCCCCTCCCTCTATAAAGCCTTTCCCTCAGTGATTTCACCCACTCCCATGGATTTGACACTTCCTTATGTTATCATCTAAAGACCAAACTAACCCCTTTCTTGAATTTTTAGACCTTACTAGAGGTATCATTCTAACTCCTGTCTACTGGGAGACTAGATATCGTCTCTATCTTGAGTGCTCTCTCTAAAGCCATAATAGATACATGAACAGATGGATGGCTGGCTGGATGGATGGCTGGCTGGATGGCTGGATGGATAGATGGATGAATGGATAGATGGATGGATGGCTGCAGGGATGGATGCATGGGTGGATGGATAGATGGATGAATGGACAGATGGATGGATAGATGGATAGATGGATGGATAAATGGATGGATGAATGGATGGATGGATGCATGGATGGATGGATATGGAGTGATAGATGATAAATATATTTGGATAGATAGATATGGATAAATAGCTAATTACATTTATAGACAAATAAATATAGGTGATTGACGGAGATACCGTGCCTTCTTCTGATCCACATGTTAAGAATAGCAGTCTTGCTGTGGCCTCTGTTCTTAGGATTTCACATAAAACTGCTTCATCAACACAATAGTGCTCTCCACGTTGCTAAGTCTGATGATATTTTATTCAGAATTATTTAATTTGAACTTTAGGAGCATTTGATGCAGTTGACCATACATTTCTTCTTGAGACCCTTCACTATTTCCTGATTTTCCTTTTACTTTATTGGTTGTTTCTATCAGGTCTATTTTGCTGTCTCTCTCTCCCCTTCTCAAACTCTGAATGTCAGAGAGAGAGATTCGTCACCCTCTTTTCTTCTCTGAGAGTCCTTCCTTCCTGGGTGACTTCATGCAAACTTATGGCTCTGAAAACATCTGTATGCAAATAGCTCACTCTGTACTTCCAGCCAAGACTTCTCTGATTAGCTCCAGACTGTCATATTCATTGCCTACTTGACATCTCCATTGAACTATCTCATCAATTGTGCAAGTTTGATAGGAACAAAAGAAAGTTCTCCAGCAAAGCTAGTAGGTATATAAATAAATAAAAAGATTAACAGTGTTTTTCTAGTCCTCTTTGCCCCAGTGAACAGTTCCACCACTGCTCTAGTTTCTCAAACTTCAGGCTTACAATTTCAAGCTAATTCCTCCCTTTCTGTTATCTCCCACATCTGATCCATTACAACATCTTATTGCTTCCATCAAGTGTGGCCATTTTCTGCTGCTCCAGCACCAGCATCTCAGTCCAAGATGCTATGATCTTTCATCAGAATGGACCCAATAGCTTCCTAAATTCCCAATGGGTCCCACGCTACATCAACAATTTCATTCACTCATTTACCTAAGCCATAGTTATTGAAGACCATTATGTTTCTGACATTATTTTAGAGAGTGAACATAGAATCATATACAAAATTAAGGTGATTGTAGAGCAAGAGATAGACTGTAAAAGAGTAGATGAATAACTAACTAATTTATATCAAGCCTTTGGTGAGGGCAATGAACAAAGATGAAGACGGGAAAGTCTAGCAGATGGTGGAGATGGAAGGTGTTGTTTTAGACAGGTGTCTGGGGAAGCCACCGAGAAAGCTTCTGATGTGGAGATCCAGAGCAAGAATTAGGAGCAAGGGGCATAGCAAATGCCTGCATCATTGTCTCAGCTCTGGACCTGCTTCCAAACTGGTGAGGTGTGGAATATTTCGAGCAGAGGAGTTGCATTATCTAACATGCTCTGAAAAGGTCTCTTGGCCGATGGGTGAGGAAGCACCTCATTCCCTGTAATACACATAAGAAGTCATTCCTGTCCACTAGTCTGTGCCGTGCTTCCCATGTTTGCTGCCGTTCAGCCCAGTGGCCTCTCTCCCTGGAATGGAATGTGCGATCTGGTGGACTGGCTTTGGTATGAGCTCCTCTCTCCACTGTGACACTGTTGTCCTTTGTCTTCATGTCTTCCTGCTCTTTCTCCCCACTCAGATCTCGGCTCAGCCCAGACCTCCTCTCCTTCCTCTCTCCTTCTCCAGTCCTCAAGTTACAGTACTGTGTCAGTCCTTCTTACATTACTCTCCTCTACTCATCTTCTTAGTACTCATGCCTATTTGGTATTTTGTGGTGTTGTTTATCCTTTTGTTAATTTTTATATTCCATTTTTCCTCAGTGCAATTTAATTTTTAAGGTTGTTGAGTGCAAGGATCTTGCCTGCTTTGTAATGCTAAATCTCAAGCACAAGGAAGTGCACAGCATGGATATTTGTTGAATGAGTAAATGAATGAATGACCACTGGCATTCAGGGGTTGGCTAGTCATCAAAAGGTGATGTTCTTGGGTTATAAAAAGGCAGATAGAGTTCAGTCCCCATTGTTGAGAGGCTTATAATATAGTGATAGATAGAGTGAGCGCATGGATGGTTGGATCATAAATCAATCTGTATAAAGACAGAGAGGTAAATGGGTGAAGGTGGTGTGTATATATAGCAATATAAAGCCTATTTAAATCTGCAGTTTCTTTTAATGACTGCTTTCCTATGAAAACTTTGCCAGCACTTAGCATGGTATGTAAAACTGAGTAAGTTCTGAATAATGATTTGTTTACCACATAAATATGTTAGTAAATGAATGAAGGTGGCTTAAGTTTGAGGAAGTCCTTACCATTTATCAAGATATTCTCTTATTCAATATATAATTCACAGAGATGAGGTGCTTATAAACCCTGAAAATAATGTGTTTAATTTGAGGAGGCACTTTCTAGGTCACAAAGGTGGTTACAGAATCAGGAACACGACAGTAGAAAACACCCAGCTTTATTGAGAACCTCCTGCCAAATGGTTTGGCTTTATGTCCCTTGCCAAATTTCACCTTGACTTGTAATAATCCCCGTGTGTCATGGGAGGGACCCAGCAGGAAGCAATTGAATCATAGGGGTGAGTTTTTTTCTGTGCTGTTCTTGTGATAGTGAATAAGTCTCACAAGATCTGATGGCTTTATAGATGGGAGTTTTCCTGCACACGCCCTCTTTCCTGCCGCCATGTAAGACATCCCTTTGCTCTTCCTTTGTCTTTTGCCATCATTGTGAGTTCTCCCCAGACATATGGAATTGTGAGTCCATTAAACTTCTTTCCTTTATAAATTACCCACCCTCAAGTATCTTTATTAGCAGCATGAGAATGGACTAATACCTCCTTGAACATCATGGAATGTTCTGTCACCATACTTAGAGTGAGGGTAGGAGAAACTACAGAAAGTCCACAGAGGAGTGTTGACTTTGACCACAGGCATGGAAAAGAGAGTCCCTAAAAAAAGGTAAGAAGTATAAGAGAATGTTAAGGCATGGCCTAACTAAGCATTCAGGACTGGACTGGGATGGGGCTGGGGAATTTGCCGTGGCCACTGGGCAGTTGTTCCTGATAATGGATTCAAATACACAAAAGCTGCTGAAACTAAAGTTAGAAAACAAATTCACACCAGTGTTGATGAAACCCCACAAAGACCCTCAAAACTCAACCCCACCGCCACCTTACAATGTGTCAACTGACGCCCTGAGAGTCAGGAGCTGCTCAAGGAGAGCCGCCTTCTTTTGGAAAGAAGCCAGACCCAGCGGCCATCTCTATACTCCTATCCTTCCCACCGAGGTTGTGTGGCCGTCTGCTGAGAAGATGCCGAGATTATTTCCAAGAGAGAGATGGGTGACAAGAGCATGATCTATCTTGAAGCTTTGGACATTTCTGGGCCTGCTGGTTTTGAGATCCCTTGCAGCTTCATGCTTCTACAATGTTGCCTTGGCAGCTTGGAAAAGAAGCAGAATGGAGAAGAGAGCCAAGGCCAGGTGGGGGTGAGGACGGAATAGAGACACTGGAATGAACTTCCCTGACCCAGGGCATGCTTTCAGCTGGAACTTTAGGAGAGATGTCTCCACTGCATGGCTCTGTGGGCAGCACCTCCCACTGCCTGCCTCTGGCCCGGTGAGGTGGCTTCTTGTTGTGCACGTTTCTTCCTCTGTCATTGCATTATTTTGTTCAGGACCCTACATCCCCCTCCTTCTTATACTAGACTGTGAGCTTCCTGAGGCAGAGAATGGATTCATCTGCATTGTCCCTGAACTGGTCACACAGCACAGGATCAATAGTGTTTCCGTGGGCTCAGTTGACCTGTTTGTTCTTTGTATTTTCTTTTTCTTTTGTCTTCTCATGGTTCTTCTTGCTGACGGGTGAGGAAATTGATGGCTCATGGATGCAGTGACCTGAAGGCTTGCGATTTCTGCCCTGATATCTTTCTACTCCATAAACCTGCTTCTCCCAGGCAGGTGTGGCCCAGAGAGGTCATATGATTTAGAATTACAGTTTTACTAGAGGAGTCTGTGAAGATCACTGCTTGACCCTCGTTTCTTTTTAGTCTTCTTTTAATGGTCTTTGTGTCTGTTCTATCTGTGTGTTTTATGTGAATCCACTGCAAATCTTTATTGGAAGCATCTGTGGTACAAATTAATAAGAAGAAAATATTGGAGTCCACATAGTATAAATATGACTGGTTAAATCTTTTCAAATATTTAGGTGTATTTTTTTTCCTAAACCAATGCTCTACCTAAACTAATGTTCCACACAAAATTTTCTTTTGCAACTTTAGAAGCACTTTTCATGAGCATTATAGCACAAGCTAGCACAATCTAAAAAGAAAGGAAATATTAGAATTGATTCTTTAGCAATTTTGCACAGATGTGTTTTGCAATGAGCAGTGGCCTGTACTTTATCATGCATCTTTAAAGGAAGTGGTTTTGTTACAGAAATTTCAGCAAAAAAAAAAGACTCTCACTCTAAATAATTAAGAACTTTTTTTTTACAGTAGAAAATAGAAACTAGAAATATCTGTATGACTTTCTTTTGGCAATGTTATCAGTTTCTTTGTGTTATGAATTGTATCAAACATCCAAGATCACATGTGCTATTATGGGAGAAGTATGAATTATCTGCATTTAGCTCCCACACCATAATTGCCATTTACGGTACACTTTTTTTTTATACATAGTTCATTTTAATAGTGAGAGTATCAGACTATAAACACCAGCAGTTTTCTTTAATTACTATCCTATATTTTGAATGAGCTCCTATTAAGAAAAAGCTTTTTGCATGCTAAAATATTTACAACCATTTGTTAAACTTAAACCATTAAGTGGGGAAATAATAATAGTTTTAATTTTAGTCTCAGAAAAAAAAATGAATGATTACACTTACTGTGGCTAGTAATTGGCCAGTTGGGTTTTGGGGCTAGAATTTCATCTCCTTCCGACTTTTCTAATTCCAGTTTTTATTTTTCTGCACGTGAACGTTAGGCAGCAGAGCACGCTGAGATCGTTAGTGTGGAGAATGGATTCTGAGCCTCTCTTTATAGACATGCTTCATTCATATCATGGGTAAGGATCTGGGGAAACGTCCTTTGCTAATCTAGTTAGCAGCCAGCCCCCAGAGAGACCCTGGAAGGTAGTGCTTTCGTCAAAGGGGGCTGCGGGCTTTGTGCCTCCCTGACCTGTCTCCGTGTCAGCCACAAGGCAGAACAATAGCAAGCGAGGCCAGAAAGACTTTTAGCCTGATTCATTCAAGAGTAGAGGGTTTTTTAGTGTTTCAAGGAGATTCTGCATAGACAACCAGGAACAGCTAAATAAATTCTTACGAGCCACAGCAGAGGTCAGAAACAACTCTTGTTGGGTGACAGAGTTTTACTTTTCTACACTTCAACTTCCAAGCTAGTGATCAGCTGGTAGAAACTCCTGTCAACTGGTTTAAGGACAGATGACTGTGATATATAGGAAGGTGCCACCTGTGAAGCCATGGGGAGCTGAAGAAGATACTGGAATAGTATCTTCCCAAGCTATTTCCCAAGACTGAGAGCTGGAGGAAATGCCAACACCGAGAGATGGACAGTCCATGGGGAAGTCTACAGAGACTGGAGAAATACTTGCATCTTCTGCCCTGAAACCAGTCACTCTATTCAATGACTCCAGCTAATTACCTTCACATGATTTACAAGCAAAAAGATTGTTTGTTTTATTTATCTATTTACCCTAATTCATGATCACTTTCTATCTCTCTTGTATTCTCAAATTAATGTATTTGCTTCTGCTGACAATGGCTTTCAGAGCTTAATTATTTTCATAGACAAAATCTCTCCAATACAAATAGAAACTTAACTGTATAGTTATGTCAAGTCACTCCACAGTGGTGACGTCTCATGTATTGTTGGAGAACCCACATGCAGTCTTTGGCATGTGATGTTTAAATAGAGACAAAAGAACAACTAATCCACGGTGGACTAACTATAGGATCTATTTTCATTTTTTCTTTTCTTATTTATTTATGTATTTATTTATTTTGACCCAGAGGATGAAGAGCCATATCCCACGTACTCTACTTTTCCATTCTTCTTTTTTTTCTAGATGAGTATTTCTTTGTCTTAATTTCTAATAAACATTTAGTGTTTCTGGTAGAGTTTCTTGGAATTTTAGGATGAGAAGCTGGGGAAGACAGTTAAAGGATTACTAACAAACACTGTGAAAATGGATAGAATTTTATTCACAGCAATCAATACGAAATGTCCTAATAGATACATAGGTATACAGCATAAACAGGTAATTCAAAAGTAAGGAAATACAGCTCGTTAGTGAAATGTCCTAATAGATACATAGGTGTACAGCATAAACAGATAATTCAAAAGTAAGGAAATACAGCTCATTAGTGAATATGTAGAAAACTGTTAAAAGGTGCTGTATGAGGGTTCTCCAGAGAAACAGACCAACAGGATGTGCTTACCCAGAAGAAAAGATCTACTATAAGGAACTGGTTCCTGTGATTATGGAGGCTGCATACCAAGCTCTGCAGTCTGTGGTCTGGAGACCTGGGAGAGTCCATGGGTGAGTTGCAGTCACAGCTGGAAGGCTCAAGACTTGGAAAGAGCTAATGTTTTAGTTCAAGCCTGAAGTCAGGAAAAAAATAGTGTCCCAATTCAAAAGCAGACAGGCAGGAAAAATTTCCACTTGCTTGGAGGAGGTCAGTTTTTTGTTCCATTCAGACCTTCAACTGATTGGATGAGGCTCATGCACATTAGGGACTGCAATTTGCTTTACTCAGTCTATCAACTTGAATGTTAATCTCATCCAAGCACCTTCATAAAAATACCCAGAATGTTTGGCCAAATATCTGGGCACCCTGTAGCCCAGTCAAGTTGACATTAAATTCTATATCACACATATCATTCCCATCAATAAGCCTGTTGTTCTAACAAAACCCTTCTCTGCCACACAAAGACATTGTTGTCTCTCTATACTTTTTTACATACAATTTATTCTGCCTTTCTAAGTCTTACTTAACTTTCAAAGCTAACACTTTAAATTGCCTTTTAACTTTCTTTACTAGCATAGCACTTCATGCATACATTCATGGAGCACTAACTACCCATCCCAGTTCTGGCATTTAGCCATTCATGTTGCTCAAAAGACTTGCATGAAAAAGAAATGATGTCGTTTTTAATGTGTAATTTTTTCGGTTAAAAAAATGGGTGCTCCGGTCTATTGCTGGTATGAATATAAATAAGTGCAAGCCTTTTAAGAAAGCAAATTGGCAAAAATCTTAAATGTTCATACCTGCTGATTCAGTATCCTTACTTTGGAAAATCTTCCTAAGATAATAATCCCAAAATATGTGGATAAATTGGATGCATACAAAACCTTTCATCAAGCTGTATTTATAATAATAATAAAATTATAAGAAATGATCTAAATTTAAACATATAGAAATGATTAGTTATAGCATGTTACCACTAGGCAACAAAATATCAAGTACTCATCAAAATGTTTGTAAAAGTTTCTAATAATGTAAAATGTGCTTATGTTAGGTGACAAATAACATAGTAGTATAATTACCTTATAAGATATGCAAAAAAGACTAAAAAATTTCTAAAATATTAGCAAGTAGTGACTTGGTGATAGTAAAGCTACAGATGCCACCTATTTTTGTCTTTCATGTGTTCTTATTAAAAACAAACCAATAAGAAACTCAAAAGAATAATTTGACAATTCAGCTCAGTTCAACCCCTTTTTTCTTGTTTTACTACCTAATTAATATAAATAGCATGAATGATGTTTTAAATTTAGAGAATGTTATATAAATGGGATCTTAAAAATTCCTCTTACAGCAGATCACGAGGTCAGGAGATCGAGACCATCCTGGCTAACATGGTGAAACAGCGTCTCTACTAAAAATACCAAAAATTAGCCAGGCAAGGAGGCGGGCGCCTGTAGTCCCAGCTACTCGGGAGGCTGAGGCAGGAGAATGGCATGAACCCTGGGGGGCGGAGCCTGCAGTGAGCCGAGATCTCGCCACTGCACTCCAACCTGGGCGACAGTGAGACTCCGTTTAAAAAAAAAAAAAAATTCCTCTTACAGAATGTATTTTAACCAGACCATCACTGTTATTCTTTAATAATTGTTTCACTTGGCAAACAGTTTTAGACTGTATTCTGTGAATAAAGTACTACAAAAGTGGCCTTATACACCAAATATGATCCAGCAATCCCAGTGCTGGGATACGCATCCAACGGCGAAGAAATCAGCCTATGGAAGAGACTTTTGCACTTCCATGTTTGTGTAGCACTATTCACAATAGCCAAGATATGGAATCAACCTAAGTGCCCATCAGTAAATGAATGGGTAAAGAAAATAAGGCACACACACACACACAATGGAATACTATTCTGCCGTAAAAAAGAATAAGATCCTGTCATTCGCAGCAAAGTGGATAAGCTTGGAGAAAATTATGTTAAGTGAAGTACATCAAACACAGAAAAACAAACACTGCACGATCTCACTCAGATGTAGAATCTGAAGAAGTTGATCTCATTGGAGCACGGAGTAGAACAGTGGTCACCAGAGGCTGGGAAGAGGGGAAGAGGAGGGGGTGAGGAGAGGTTGGTCAACAGGTATAAATTTACAGTTAGATAGAAGGAGTAAGTTCTGGTGTTCTGCTGCACACTAGGGTGACTAGAATCAATAATAATGTATACTTCAAAATAGCTAGAAAAGAGGATTTTGCATGTTCTCACCACAAGAAATGACAAGTGTTTGAGTGGATGGATAGGTCAGTCATCCTTGTGTTATTTGATCATTACACAATCGATATATGTATCCAACATCACACTGTACCCCATAACTATGTACAGTTATTATGTGTCAATTAAAAACAAAATAAAATTTATTTTAAAAAGTCCATCCACTTAAGAGAAAAAGTAATTAGAAAATCGAATCCTGGGCCAGGTGCCATGGCTCACGCCTGTAATCCCAGCACTTTGGGAGGCCAAGGTGGGCAGATCGTGAGGTCAGGAGTTCGAGACCAGCCTGGCCAATATGGTGAAACCCCGTCTCTACTAAAAAATACAAAAAAAAATTTAGCAGGACATGGTGGCGTGTGCCTGTAGTCCCAGTTACTCAGGAGGTTGAGGCAGGAGAATCACTTGAACCCCAGAAGTGGAGGTTGCAGTGAGCCGAGATCGCATCACTGTACTCCAGCCTGGGTGACAGAGTGAGACTGCATCTCAAAAAAGAAAAAGAAAATTGAATCCTGATACCAAAGTTTTTCTGATTTAAAAAATGTATGTTGAGGTTGATTCTAAGGTATTTTAAACACAGTCTCTGCAAAACTGCCTTTGATAAATACAAGGTCAATTCTGGGTCCAGTATCTAGGCGTTGCCCTTTGCCACCACCATGGTACAGACTTATTTTTGGTGTATTCCCATCCTTGCCCAATTTGCACCATTATGCAAAGATGATAAAATCAGTCCCTGGAAGCTGGTGAGTTGTGAGACGATTAAAACATAAAATAATAGCAGTAACTCCACACCGCTCATATTGTGCTCGAGAATAACACGTTAAAGACTCAGCTCCGCCACATTCTTGGTTGCTGCCATCATGATGAGCAGCTCTGCCCTCAATGAAGCACATTTCCTTTGCAGGTGGAGGCTGCAGCACGCCAGAGATTTCTGTGATGCACTCTGGGCTGCCCTAGTGTAAGCAGAAACAGGGGAAGCCTGGGAGTGTCTGTCTGCGGCAGTTTGAGGCAAACTCAACATATATATATATTCAACATTCAGGCAAGCAGTGAACTTTCTGTAATACGTCATGTGTGTTTCACTAGAAACTAATGTTTTAAGTTGTTTAACAATTGAATCCAAACCCAACTTCCTAAATACCTACCAACTTTCCTCCTTTGGTTTTACAGGTCTCTGAAATGTTACCAAGGACCTCCTGGGTCTGGGTGCCTTAGTTCACGAAATGCTGCCCTACCAGATTTTGGGGATCCAGATTTTAGAACAACCGCTTTCAATCTTGGGAAGCAATGACATCGATGATAAAAATCGCCCTGGGGGCAGGTCCCTTGCTGTAGCTATTTTCATATAAATACCTTCAACAGCACATTAAAACTGAGGCAGAAAACAATGATTACGGCTTCTAAACTTGGATTCATATTTTCAGACCCGTGTTGCTATGGCAACAAAAACGGCATTCTTTTAATTCATCAAAAATGTATTTCATTCATACAGTACTTACGTTTCAAGACGGTTAGTAAAGATTAAAGGAGTTCAAGCATGTAAAACACTTAGGACGGGGCCCAGCACAAAGAAAATACAGAATGAATGTTAATGCTATTAATACTTCAATCTCTTTAATTTGCCAAAGATTTATTGGACACTTCTATGTGCTGCACAGTGCTTTAGACTATGCCAAAATAAAAGACCCAAGGATAGAATATATACTGTAGTGGAATTGGTAATCTTTTATTAGCTTTCAGGTTTGTAACATGAAAAGGATGATAGCAGAATAAGACAGATTAATGTGAAAAGAGGAAGTCACCATAAAATGGCAGGCGCTTTAATAACATGAGAGTTAATGCCTGCAGAGGACTTCCTCTGTGGCAAACATTGGATGCATGTCTCATGCAACTTCCATGACTGTCCTTCATACAGACAAGGAAATTAAGGATTAGAAAGGAATTGGCTGCAACACCCGCAGTTGGCAGAACAGCGTTTACTCCGGGCCAATGTGTCTTCAAGCCGGGTGCCTGGAGTCTTACCCCTTCACTCTGGTAACCTGGAATTGATAGACAGGAACTTGCTCACCACAGCCCCAAGCCTTTTGTAACAACGTGGTGGTCTCCATTTCAGTTGGGACACACCGAAGGCATACACGGTCTGCGTGCTGAACACTGGGCAAGGTTTTCTGAGCCAAAGGCTGCCCTGCTTGGGTTGAGCTGGGATCTCTGGAGTTGAGGCTACCTCATTTCACTGAGGTAAATAATGATTGGTCTCTCTGTGTTCCACACTAACATAGTTAATTCTATTTTAGTAGGTAATTGATAATATTCTTCTGCCACTGAAATTAATTCGAACCAGATGCCCAGACTTAATATTTCCAGCATTTGCTTCAGTGGCCCTTGGTTTCAGCATAGTCATTCTCTGCCTGGAATGAGATTGGGATTGGTAGATGGTTTTAATACTCCCTCCACGTTTCAGGTCCTACTGGGCAACATTTACCTTCTGATAATTGCTTAAAAACATACAGAACTATTAAAAGCTAAGGTTTTAATGGGCATTATCTCATCCCCAAACTCTCAATGCTCTTCTAACCCACTTTCTATCTCCTACTTGTACTTTTGACCTCTGGAACAAACACGCATTCTTGTGACAAGTGTCATGAGAGTTTAATTGTGGTTTGATTGTTTATAACAACCATGTCCAGGCTCCTCGAATATGTCCTAGTTTCATGCTTTTTAACTGTTCTGTTTTTCCCTCCTTGAAATTAGCACACCTTTTTCCATGTCTATCTTAAGGTGTTAATTTGGGTTCTAATTCTAGTTGATTTGTATATTGTATGACTTAACTTTTCTGACTCTCTGTTTACATAAATGGATGAATAATAGTACCTAGTTTTTAGGCTGCTCTGAGGATGCAAAGATACAGAATATATCAAATTTCTATCACAGTGTCTGACATTTTAATAACCCATTGCATGTGATTTGGTTATGACATCCTCCTGTTGATAAGAAGGCCTCCTTACACCTCAATCTCCATGTGATCGCATGAACAATATCTTTCATTTATGCTCCTTCTTGTGGAGGAGAGATGGCTGGAATTGTTGACTAGACTAAGTGCTTTATGTATACTGTGTCATTGAATCCCCCACAATGACCACCCTGCAAGATAGGTGCTATTGTCCCTACTCATTAAATGAAGACACTGAGCCACAGTGAGGGTTAATAGCTTGCTGACAATCTCACAGTGCATATAGTGGAGCAGTGGTGAAAACGTGGGCCCTCTGATGCCAGAGCACATGTTTTCAATCGCTACCTTAGAGATGCCTCTGAGGGAATTGTATGTTTATTTTTTATATAATTGAGCCTGTTTCATTGGCCTCCAAATATGTAGGTCTGTTATGAGATGTTTAGATCCTAATTCAATGATTACATCCCTGTATCTAATAGCTCTTCTTTCTTTAAACCACGAGCAAGATTCAATCCATATGCCATACAAGTTTTGCTGTAAGTGCTAATTAGAAATTAAAAAATTTTATCGTGCTATAAATACTCAACCCTTTATTTCTCAGATTTGACACCCTAGGTGACTATATAATATTCACATATAAGGACTTACCCACATTCTCTACAACTTGTTCAATTATGTAAGAAAAACAATTGTGTAAAAAAATGTTTGGTTTTGAGACAGGGTTTTGCTCTGTCATGCAGGTTGGAGTGTGATCATTGCTCACTGCAACCTCCACATCCTGGGCTCAATTGATCCTCCTGCCTCAGCCCCCGAGTGGGTGGGACTATAGGTGGGTGCCACCACACCAGGCTAATGTGTGTATTTTTTGTAGAGATGGTACTGGCACACCATTTTAACTTTGCTAATCAGGTGAGTGTCAGTATCTATTATTATCTTTTTAATTTGGATTTTCTAGATTATTTATGATCTCCCTTTGTTGCCAAGGCTGGTCTCAAACTCTGGGCACAAGCAATCCACCTCCCCAGTCTCCTTCCAAAGTGGTAAAATTACAGGTGTGAGCCACCATGCCTGGCCAAAAAGAAACGTTAAAAAAGTAATGGAATGATAAAGAATAAATCTCAATGACAGCCTCTGCTGCCTTTGCTTCTTAGCATTAACTCCTGAGCTGCCTCTGTGGGGGCTTCCCCTTGGGCTCCCAGAGCTGCTTTGCCTGGAGGGTCAGAGAGAAGAAGCGCCTTGGACTCACTTGTGTGACAGCGTCTGAAAGCCTGACTCCCCGGCCCCTGGAAAGAGTGAACACTCAGGATTCTCCTCTGGGGCCAGACTGCAGCACCAGGGACCTTGCCTGAGATGAGGCTGTGGGTGGGCCCCTTCCTCTTCTTCCTCTTCCCTGTCAGTTTCACCTGCTTGAAGGCAAATTCTGGTCTTAATTCTAGTGAGTTCGGGTTTGCTTCTGGGGAACCAGACCTGAGACAGGAGAAAAACAAGTCCTGCTAAGTGACAGAGGCCCAGTGCCATTACACTGGGGTGGTCAGTTTTCTGGGTTCGATTTGCAGCACCTCCTGCAAGGTTGAGAGCCTTTAAACGCATTTTCTCAGGCTCTGGGTGGCTCTACACTCAGCTCCTCTTTTCTAAGATCTGAATTTTGCATGAGAGTGTAAGCCACACACTACCGATCTTTGGAAATACTCAGGATGTAAACTTCTCCTTAAAGGGGTTGTCTAACAGCTCATATTGGAGATTATTGGGAGACAGGGCGTGAGGTAGAATGGCCTTCTGGCCCTCTCCTTTCCTTCGTTCATGAGGTTGGAGCAGCTGCTTCCTAACTCTTGTAAAATGCTTTCGTGCTTGTCAACTAAATGTAAGTTACAGCAATCAGAAAGCCATCCTAAATAAATATCTAATGAGAATCTTCCATGTATAAGATTTAATGCTCTGTGCTCAATGATTCAAAGTACAATTCTGTATATTGACTATCAAAAATATCTAATGTAGAGAAGTGGCTGAAATAAGAAAATAATTAAACATATCGGACAGTCCATCAACAGCTGCCTGAAAGAGATCACTTACTTATTTCAAGAAAGAAAGAAAGTCGTTATGTTTTTGCATTGACAACTATGTTAGTCAGGATTCTCCAGAGAAACAGAACGAATATATATGTCCTATTGATTGTGTGTGTGTGTGTGTATGTATATATACACACACACAAATATACACACACATATATGGTATGGTTTGGCTGTGTCCTCACCCAAATCTCATCTTGAATTGTAGCTCCCATAATTCCCACATGTCATGGGAGGGACCAAGTGGGAGGTAATTGAATGATGGAGGCAGGCCTTGCCCATGCTGTTCTTGTGATGGTGATTAAGTCTCACAAGATCCGATGGCTTTATAAAGGGCAGGACACGCTCTCTTGCCTGCAGCCATATAGGACGTGCCTTTGCTTCTCCTTCACCTTCTGCCATGATGTGAGGCCTCCTGCAGGAGGAAGGCCAGGTGCTAAACACTCAGTTTGGGATGACACAGAAGGCTTTTGTTAAACACGAGCCGCTTCTCTGAGTGTTTTTCAGTTGGAGCTGAAGTGCTGAGTATGGCAACATTTCAAAGTGCAGCAGGGTCTGGCAGGTTGTGCAACTGTCAAGCCGCATGCACAGGTACCTAGTTTTGTTTTATGTTTAAAATCATAGCTTTTCATTGGTAAGGCTTCAATGCAATCTTTCCGAGTGCTACACAAAGATTTGTATACTTGTTAAAAATAGCAAGTTCAAGTGATTTATAAATTGTCCATTTATGACGTTGTGTGGTGTTGACCTAAAAGCATGGGTTTGTGTTTCTTACTCTACTGGGGACATCAGGGCCCCCCAGTTTTCACCAACACATCAGTCAATGTGTATTGATTACCATTCCATGTCAAACTCTATGTCAAATTAAAGAACTAGCAAACACCCTCACTGCTCTCAATGGGTGAATAATGCAATTTCTGAGACAAGACAGACACACAAAACTCTCAGTAGCACTCTAAACTATGAGTCTTTTCCTGGGAGTTCAATGAGTGCTTTGAATGCAGAGGAGAAAGAGCCACCGCCTGAGCTAGCTGTGGACAGAGGCAAAACTCTAACTTCAGCTGGTTTTGAGTGAGAAGTGGGTCTCTGTTAAAATGCTAGTCATGTAAAAGCATAGTTGCCATCTTGTCATGTTTTGTTTTAAAATGTCAGTTTATAGCCACTAAAATTTGAATCTATCAATCTGTTAAATGATGCAAAATTTCTATGATAAATTACAACCATCAACCACTATAGAGCATTTATGGACTAAACTGGATTAATTTATCTTCTACTATAGGCGCCGCACACCATCCTCAGTAAAGCTTCAGTCAATCGCTGTAAGTGACCAGGAGCCCTGATGGGAGTCACGTTCAGGTTAAGATCAAACAGAACGGCAGTGAGTGGAAGCATCATGGGAGACGATAACATCTCAGAGGTGTTGGGAGGAGGAGAAGGTCAAGCCAGGCAGTGGTGGGCCACGTCAGCATGGCCAGGCACACAGCTTCCCTTCCTCAGAAAGACACTCAGAAATACTGGGGAAGGAGCCATCTTTTCCTTTTTTTGTAATTAGGCAAAAATAGCTACAGGGAGAAATAGCTCTCATCCAAGTCAATCTCCAAGTGACTCGTTGATGACACCTGTGATACATTCCATGAAGAATCCCTGATGGTCAGGTAGCACAGGCTGGAAGGTCTGCACCTCTTCAGGGAGGTGGAGGAGCTGGTTCCGTGAAGAGCTGACGTGCAGGTTGAGAACTGAAGGACAGGTAGGAATTAGCTCAGAAAAGCAACAGCAGAATCCAGTGTGTGCAGCACAGTTGAAAGGGAAGGTGCGTGACACACGAAGGGAGTTAAAACAAAAAGATGAAAAACCAGGCCAAGGTGGTCGAACCAGGAAAAAAAAAAGAAGAAATTGCCACGTGCAGAGGCTTGACAGGGTGGAGCGAGTCCGGGGGACTCTGTGTGGACCTAGAGTGTGTGTGCATCTGGCTGCTCAGGCAGGGGATAGGAGGCAAAGGCCAGGAGTCAGAAACAAAGACAAGACAAAAAAACAACAGCTATGAAGCAAAACAGAACAAAAGTGGGACTTCTCTGTCATCAAATTTCTGTCAATTTTGATATCATCCCAGTGACCATCGGTCTCTGAGCCTCTGCTTCCTTCTTACTTGACATCCCAGTAAGATGGCTGGTGGGAAAATTCACTCATTAACTCAGTTAAAGTGAAGGACAGATATCTGTGTTTTAAAATTCCTCCACATTGGCTGGCTGGCTCTTTCTCCAGACCTTTCTGTCCCCTCCTCCCCACTCCCCTCCTCTCCTCGTCACTCCTCTCCTCCTCTCCTTTTCCCTTCCCTCCACCTTCTCCCCTCCCCTCCCCTTCCCTCATCTTCTCTCACCTCCCTTTCAAAGCTGCCCCAACTGCAAATGAATAAATCAACAACCAGCCCACCACACTCCCACACAGAACTCCTCCATCCCTCCTCCTTGTTCCACAGAGACCTGTCTCTCAGCCTGCACCCCAGGGGGACTCTTCCTTGCCTTAAGAACCTGGTGAGAAAATTCATCACTCAATACTTTACCAAAGGAAACCGAGGAAGGCTTTAGCAGGCAGGTGCAGAGGCAGCCTGGGAAACACAGGTCAGAGCCAAGGGTGGCCTGAGGTCTCTGCAGTCGGCAGGAAGGTGCAGGACGGTCACTGGCTGCCACCGGAACGCAGGCGGCCAGCAAAGGCCTCACAGGCACGGCAACACCTCTGACCCTGTTTTCTCTGCCCGGGAGTCTGTTTTTTCATCTTTTGTTTATGTGCCTGCAGCCTTTGTGTGCTTGTAGCCTCGGCAGTGTGATCAGGTTGACCTTAGAAAGAAAAATGAAAACATTCCTGGAATAAGCCGGCCAGTTACGAGGCCAACTTTCTAGCAGGGCTAAAAGTGTGCCCCAGGGCCTCTCTACCCAACCGCAGACGGCTAGTTGGATGCGTGTTCTGAGAGTCGTGGTCCTGATGGATGAGTACATCAGGTTTCTTTCTCCTGTGGGATGAGTGTTCCCAGGTCCAGGCAGTGCGGACGCATCAGACGCTGTGCGGCATTTTTACCGGAGCAGAGCGCAGGTGGCCTGCACTATGCGTTTGCTGGGGAAGGCCTGGAATCCCAGGCCAGTGTCTCAGCCACTCCCTTCATTGCCAGGAGTTGTTCTAAGCAAATCACGACTTCTATGTTTACGCCACTGAGGGAGCAGTAGAAGACAGAATGCTCGAACACGGTTCCACTTTGGAACCCGCCTCCCCTGCCATGTCGGGGATGTATTGGAAATTCATCACACAATGAAAGAACAGCGATGTGACTGCAGTGCGACACCTGCCTCTCAGGACACGGCAGACGGCGAGGTCAGCCCTGCCCAAGCTGTTTGGAATTCATTCCGCTCTGAGCTTCCTCAACTTTCACCCTGTTCTCACCTCCAGCGAAGCTGCCATTAGCTTTCCTTCTTCCCAAGCATGTTCTGTCCCTTTCTCTGGGGTTGGGAAGTAATCAGGTATTTTGGGCTTGTAAAATCTCCTGCTGGGTTGTCAGCATAGGAGCCAGAAAAATAAAAGAACATGCCGAGCAATGTGAAGAAAAAGACAAGATTTAATTACCCCTTCTGCTTGCTTATTTCAGAAGGTATTGGAAGCTAGTACCTCTGTGCATAATACGAAGCCAATTTAGTATCGTAACGTCTGCTTAAGCAAATTACAATAAGTGAAGAATATATGGCAATCAGGAATAAAATGTTCCTGGGGGCTGTCTTTGATGGACGTTTTAGAAGAATGCCACTAAAACCAAAATATATCTGAAGCCTGGTTGGCAGGCATCACGAATAATGTGGTTTGCTGGTCAGGTAAGTTCATAAATCTCCATAACCAAGATGCTCTATCCTTCCCCTTAAATTATCCCACCATAGCTATAAATCAGTAGCAACTATTGACCTGAATCAGGGAAGCACAGTTTGCAGAACCTACTTCGTTGCCAATCAAGGATGGCTGAGTCACCTTCCACACAGGGCAACAGCTTTGGGGAGCTCTTGTCTTGGACAGATCCCCATTCCTTTGGAGATGCTGTTGGTCCAGACCAGAGAAAAGTGGGTGTTTATGTAGTGTTGAAGAACACAGTAATAATTACCCTTTATTTCCTCCACACCAAGAATTCAAAAATATCTTAAATCATTTTCACTCGACATCCTCCCTGCCCCTGAACACAAAACAAAACTCTTCTAACAAAACGTAGCACTGTTTCAATGGCTAGTGTTATGGTTTGCTTCTGTGGCCCCACCCAAATTTTGTCTCAAATTGTAATCTCCACGTGTTAAAGGAGGTACCTGTAATCCTTACCTGTAGAAGGAAGGAGGTGATTGGCGGTTCCCCCATGCAGTTCTCATGATAGTGAGTGAGTTCTCATGAGATCCCTGATGGTTTTAGAAGTGTTGCAGAGTTCTTCCTTTACACACACTCTCTCTCACCATGTAAGATGCAACTGCTTCCCCTTCCACCATAATTATAAGTTTCCTGAGGCCTCTCCAGTCACGCAGAACTGCAAGTCAATTAAACATCTTTCCTTTACAAATGACCCAGTCTCGGGTATTTCTTTATAGCAGTGTGAAAACGGACTAATGCACTAGCATGAGAATAAGGACCGAGGCATATCCATTACACCGTCTAAAGGTAAAGTTTCCCCCAGAACTGTGTTCAGAACATTGCTTTTTTTGTTTCCTTTATTCCTGGTTGTTTTCTCTTTGGTCTCTAGACCCTGTAATATTTCACTGTGACTTCTATCAGTGCATTTGCAATGAAATTTTATTACAACCAAAGCATAATGTCTCCCGCCATTTGCTTCAGGAGAATTCGATTAATCATTTATTCTAAAACTGAAACTGAACATGAAACAGTGAGGATGTAGGGAAGGGATTTAGAATGAGAAGTGGCCATCGTTAAGGCCTGTGGCAGAATTGCTTCATGAAGTACACAGAATGTTTTTATTTGTATTTTTTTTTTTGTTACTTTAAGTTCTGGGATACATGTGCAGAAAGTGCAGGTTTGTTACATAGGTAAACATGTGCCATGGTGGTTTGCTTCACCTATCAACCCATCATCTAGGTTTTAAGCCCCACATGCATTAGGTATTTGTCCTAATGCTCTCCCTCCCTTTACCCCCCAGCCCCTGACAGGTCCCGGTGTATGATGTTCCCCTCCCTGTGTCCATGTGTTCTCATTGTTCAACTCCCACTTATGAGTAATAACATGCGGTATTTGGTTTTCTGTTCCTGTATTAGTTTGCTGAGGAGGATGGTTTCCAGCTTTATCCATGTCCCTGCAAAGGAAGTGAACTCATCACAGAATGTTTCTTAAAGAGCAGACTTAGAAATCAGAGAATTAGAGGAATTTAGGAGTGGGAAGGAAAAGGAATTCTCCCTAGGTACCAAATGAGAAGGGCAGAGCACGCTGGACCTGGAGCCATATTTCCCACAGTGCTAAATCCTGGATTGGGCAAAAGCAGTGGAGGAGACCTCAGGCAGAAGGTTGAAGAATGACTTAATTATAGTAAGCGGTCAGCTATAATTTGGGGACAGAACAAATGAAAACAGGTTGAAGACAGAGCCTGAAGGTTTCAGGTTAGAGATGTGTTTCAAGGCAATGTGTGGGTCGTTAGGGAGGTTGTAGAATCACATCTGACTCAATCTCTATTGGCTTCCCCCGTTTTCTGAACTGCTGTAGCACTTTCTATATGTATTGCTCTTTTTAATCATATATTCAATTTTGTCTGGCACTTAAATATTTTCGGTATGTGTTTCTCCTACTGTCATATAAAATTGGCTTGTGGCCTGGAAGAGTTATGTAATTTTTTGGACAGAGCTCAGTACCCAGTCATCCATTCCATCCTTGCTAAACCTCTGCGAAGTAAGCAGAACAGGTATTTTTATTTCCAATTTTTGGATAAAAATATATATACTGAATTGAGCCAAGTGGCCAGTAAAGAGAGAGGAGGACTTGACCAGGTCCTGGTTGCCCTAAAAAAATGCTGCATCTTCTAGTCCATGCTGCTGATCTCTTGACAAGCTTGGAGTAAATGCTTGCTGGGAATAGAATGGATCAATGCAAAAAAATTCCTACATAATACAGATTTGATGAGTGAAGACAAATTAGTTTTTTTGCTAACCCTATCGGTCTTTTAATATTTCATTTGAGATCTGAGATTTAAATATGTAATTTTTAAAATCATGCCTATTTTCTTGAGGACATCTGCCAACATTTCCTCAATTTGTAGCTCCCTTTAAAGTTCTGAAGATGGTAATTAAATATATATAATACAGAGAATAAAAATAAGAACCTAATCTGGCCCTATGAAATTAGAACTGGAAATGTTTTGTCGAGTTGATATAGCTGCCAATGAGTTATTGCTCCCTGTGGAATTTTTTAAAATTCTTTTTTAAAAATTTTAAAGTGCAATTTTAAATACCTTAGTAAATTTGCTTGTACCTCTTCCCCAGAGAGATTATAATTTAATGTAACGGCATCCACTCTCGTGACATTCTTGGGCAAAGAATATGAACGTTCTTTTTAAATATAATTGCTGTACTTTTAGGTATGAACTTTAATTCACACATTTCTTTCCCTCTAGGTTTTTTTTTTTTTATTTCAGATCCACTGCACAGTCATTTCTTCAATAACATGTACTTTTGTCATTGTCACTTTCTATTTCTTTTCTCTTAATCACTTTCGATCTTCCTTTCTTGATTCTCATCTCTGTTGTCTACCTGCTGTTGGCATCTAGACACTTCATACTGAATTCAGATTTTTCTGGCAGGTTATTCTGAGAGCTTTGCTATTTCCATAGAAACCCAACTTCAAACCAAACGTGGCTCCCAATTTTTTAATTGTTATATCCTATGAAAATCTGTTCTAATTATATTTTCATTGGCGTTCCAATTAACAACAAATATACCTGGATCAACCACATTATTCCAAGGTGAAACTACATGTTGCTGATGGCAGAGAAAAGATAAAATAAAAGGCTCCAGTTATAAGGAAAAAAGAAGACATATGCAGAAATAATTTCTGAATTTCAAATGGTGTATTTTTTTTTTTTTTTTGAGACAGAGTCTCCCTTTTTTGCCCAGGCAGCAGTGCAGTGGTGCGATCTTGGCTCACAGCAACTTCCACCTCCCAGATTCAAGCAATTCTTCTACCTCAGCCTCCTGAGCAGCTGGGACAACGGGCATGCGTCACTACGCCCGGCTAATTTTTGTATTTTTTGTAGAGACAGGTTCTTGCCATGTTGACCAGGCTGGTCTCGAACTCCTGACCTCAAGCCATCTGCCCACCTGGACCTCCCAAAGTGCTGGGATTACAAACGTGAGCCACCGCACCCAGCCAAATGGTGTAATCTTTTAAGCAATATTACATACAAGCCAGTGTCAGTGTAATAGTAGAATTATGATGTGTAGTCCAGGGAAATGGGGCTTAACCTGACTTCAATGCTATTTCATTATTATTTCTAGGCATAATTTGAAGACAATGAAGTTTGTCACCCTGTGGTTTGATTCCATTTTCACAGGCTTTCTTTTTCCATCTCATTCTGCAAACTCCTTCATATGTCCTTTGTTCTCACCCTGAAACCTGCTTTTGACAGGATATCTGTGAAGAGGACCCAGCTAATGAAACCTCTCTAATTTGTGTGCGGTCAGTGATAGTGTGCTGTCTCATTCTTCTCAGGGTCGTGAAACAGCAACATGCTTGGAGGCTTATTATAGGAAGAGTACAAATGAAAACAGATTAAAAATGTAGAAGGAAATATTTAGGTTATAGACAAAGTGCACTTCAAGGCAACAAATTTGGGTAATAATATGGATATTACCCTAGTGGATATTTAAAGCTGAAGCTGCAGATCTCACCGAAGCATCCCTCAGACATGGTGGTCATGGTGTCTATTCTCAGTGGCCATTAATTTACATTACATAGCCATCTGCCTGAAGATTTTCTGTGATATCATCTTCTAGAAGTTTTACAAGTTTTCCTTTTACATTTATGTCTATTATCCATTTTGAGTTAATTTTTGTGAATGGTGTAAGGCAGTGGTGCCCAATCTTTTGGCTTTCCTGGGCCACATTGAAAGAAGAAGAATTGCCTTGGGCCACACATAAAATACACTAACACTAAAGATAACTGATGAGCTAAAAAAAAAAACCCTCTTAATTTTTTTTTTTTTTTTTTGAGACAGAGTCTCGCTCTGTTGCCCCAGCTGGAGTTCAGTGGCATGATCTCAGCTCACTGCAACCTCCGCCTCCTGGGTTCAAGGGATTCTCCTGCCTCAGCCTCCTGAGTAGCTGGGATTACAGGCGCCCACCACCATGCCCAGCTAATTTTTGCATTTTTAGTAGAGACAGGGTTTCACCATGTTGGTCAGGCTGGTCTGGAACTCCTTACCTTGTGATCCACCCGCCTCAGCCTCCCAAAGTGCTGAGATTACAGGCGTGAGCCACCGTGCCCTGCTATAAAAATCTCTTAATGTTTTAAGAAAGTTTATGAATTCATGTTGGGCCACATTCAAAGCTGTCCTGGGCTGCATGGGGCCTGCAGGCCATGGGCTGATAGAGCTTGATGTAAGGTTGGTGTCTTGATTTGTTTTTTGAATGTGGATGTCCAGGTGTTCTGGTGTCATTTGTTGAAAAGGCCAAACTTTCTCCATTAAATTGCATTTGTTCCTTTGTGAAGGTTCAGTTGTGTGGGTGTATTTCAGGGCTCTCTCTTCTGTTCCATTAATCTAGTTGTCTGTTCTTTTTACCAATACCACACTGTCTTGATCACTGTAGTTTACAGTAAGCCTTTAACTCAGTACAGTAAGTCTTTAAGTCCTAAATATTGTTCTTCTTCAATACTGTGTTGGATATTCTGGGACTCTTGCTTTTCAATATAAACTTTAGAATCAGTTTGTTGATAGCCACAAAACAACTTGCTTGGATTTTGATAGGAATTGCATTAAATCTATCAATTAATATGGGAGGAACTGATGTCTTAACAATATTGAATATTTCTATTCATTAATATGGGATACCTTTTCCTTTATTTCACTCCTCTTTGACTACCTTCATGACAATTTATAGTTTTCTTCATTTAGATCTTATAAATATTTTGTTAGATTTATACTGAAGTATTTTTTTTTCTGGTGTTGGTAAATAGTAGCGTGGCTTTAATTTCCAATTCTAACTTTTCAGTGTTGGTATACAGAAAACAATTGATTTGATTTTTGTGTGTGTATATATATATATATATATATATATATATATATATATATATATATATATATTTCACCACTATGCCAGGCTAATTTTTGTATTTTTAGTAGAGATGGGGTTTCACCATGTTGGCTAGGCTGGTCTCAAACTCCTGACCTCAGGTGATCCACCCGCCTCAGCCTCCCAAAGTGCTGTGATTACAGGCATAAGCTACTGTGCCTAGACTGATTTTAGTATATTAATCTTGCATTCTGAAACCTTGCTGTAATCATTTATTAGTTCCACGAGGCTATTCTTATTGTTTTTGCTTTTCATTCTTTGAGATTTTTTATTGAGAAAATTGTTTCCTCTGTGAGCAAAACTATTTTATTTCTTTTTTCCAAACCTGAATATATTTTAATTCATTTTCTTGTCTTATTGCATTAGCTAGGATTTCCAGTATGATGTTAAAAAGGAGTAGTGAGCAGGGTCATTCTCGCCTTGTTCTTATCTTAGTAGGAAAGTGTTTAGTTTTATTACAAGGTTTTTAGCAGATAAAATTAATTAAGATTTATTATAAGCATTCAACTGTGCTAAGTGTTCTGGGTAATATACATTTTAGTCCTATTCTTAAACCATTTACACTTTGGCAAAAAAAATAAATAAATAAAATAGAGAATATAGCAACACATGCAATGATGTATTCTCCCTGCCCCTGCTGATACTCTTTGCTAAAACCCTATCATACTCTGATGGCAGTGATCAAAAACCCTTTGCTTTGCTCAAGCTGCCTGCTCCTCATGCCCTGTAATCCGTGAGTCTCATCACCTCAATACTTCTAAGATTTTTAACTCAATTCCTTTATCAAGTGTATCCCTAATGTTGCTGGCTTTTCTCATCTCTATTTCAGATTTCTTTTTTTTTTCTGTATCCTAATTCTCTTACTACTCACTTTCTTTTCTCTCATCTTAGAGGAAATCATCCTCCTCTTTTCTACCTATATTTTCTTTATGAAGTGTACTTCATCCTCAGAATCTTTATCCACCTATTATTCCCTTTCGTACTTTCTTTTTTCCCCATTATATCATTCCTCCCCTGTAAAAAATGAAAAAATCTTTTCCTGACTTTAGTTTTTATATCGTTCAATATAACAAGCTTTCTTCAATGTCCACCTCCACAATACATTTGGCTATTATTTTCTCACTGCAGCCACTTCTTTTATTCATAATTTGTCTCTTGATAACTAATTTTTTATCCTGTGACTCTATGAAAATCACTTATCAAATTGCACCTTCTCTTCCCCAAAGCAAGCCAGTCTCATTGTCTTTGAACTTCTGTAAATTTGACATTACTAGACATACTTTGATTCCAACATTCTTCTGGATACCTTTCCTTTTTAAGGTTTTTACTAAAATACATTTTTATGGTTCTCCTTGGCTTTTATTGCTTCCTATGGCTTTCTTTTTCCTTATTCTTAATATAGGGTTTTGCAAAATTCTGGCTTTCAGCTGCTCTTTGCTCTCCATCTCAACCTTCTTCCTTGACCTCGGGATGTCTTTCAGGCAGAAGACTTTAGTCATCTTCCCTCTGTAGACGGTTTTTTTGTTTTTTTTTTTTTGTATTTTTAGTAGAGACAGAGTTTCACCATGTTGGCCAGGCTGGTCTCGAATGCCTTACCTCAGGTGATTCGCCCTCCTCAGCCTCCCAAAGTGCTGAGATTAGAGGCGTGAGCCAGCACGACCAGCCCACAGTACCTTTGACAATTTTTAAATGCACGTTCCCAGCTCTGGGCTCTTGGACCTCAAGGTGTGCATTTCATGATCTGTTTGAGATCCACACAGTGTGACTGCTTGTACCGTAAGACTCACCACAGCCATAGCCACATTTTTCCTTCAGGGTCTCCTCCTCATCCCCCGCCCCCAATTTTCTTGCTCCTTCTAATAGTTCCTCCATTCCCTAGAATACAGGCTTAAGACTTTTATTCACCTTCGAATTCGTTCTTCCCAGTGACTTGCTGCCATGGTGAAATACTTCAGAACCTCTAATATCCCTGCAGCCTTCACATTAAAGGTAGTTTGTCTCTGATCTTTAAAACACCACAATACTAGTATTGCACTCCATATGACTTTTTCAGTAGTTTTGAAATAGAGATCTCCATTGTTATGTTACAAACTACTCTAAAATACGCACAGATTCTTAATCCTTTTTTATAACTTCAGTGTTCATTACCGAAAGCGTATGGCAGGTAATCGAAAAATATTCGCTAAATTAAATGGAATTAAATGGCCTTTGATTTCCTTTTCTTAATCATTTCCTTTTGTAACTAGAATCTCATATTAAAAGAAGAGAGCAAAATTTTTGCATTTTATCTGATTTTATATTCTCTCAAGTCTTAATTAAGGAAGCAAAATATCTTGTAATCAATTAGGAAATTAACAAAAGCTGGCAACTTGCCACTATATTTGGCAGTTTGAACTATAAGACAAAAAATTAAAAAAAAGGAAAAAGAAACAGCTCTACTATTATTAAAGCCTAAATAATGTGTTAGGGACTTAATTTAATCATGTATGTATTGTAGTGTTGCTCTGGTTGAAAAGGAAGTTTTACTCGACATTTCCTCTTTTAGTCTCCCTTGACTTTCGGCATAGATGTCTTTGGAGCTGAGCATTTTCATGCTTGTTTTCAGTGCAGTCCAATCATTGCTGAAGTAATTAGGTATAAAAAGTATTACTTCCTATTTCTTTGTGTTGGGAATAATGGATATGCTAATTACCCTGATCTGGTCTGTATGTATGATATACATTGAAAGAGCACTGTGGACCCCAATAACGTGGACAATGATTATGTGTCAATTAAAAACATTTTGAAAGTAATGTGTTTTTAAAATTATGGCATTAATATTTTTGCTCTGTGTTATCGTTGGATAAAACAACAAGATTTACAAATGTCTGTGATGGCCTAGTGTCTCGTCCAAACATTCTGGAAGACACGTTGCCCAGGGTGCTGGCTCTGCCTGGGCAGCCTGAGGACTTGTCACAGTGTCTCTGTGGGGTCAGCAGCTCAGACCCGGCCATGCATTCCTGTCCAACAGCCAAGAAAAGCTACCCAGAACCACAGATGGCCAATGCTGGCTTCCAGGGTGCCAGCCCACTGCTGAGAGAGGAGCCCTTGGGAACAAAGTTTTATAAAAATGAGCTACCTGTGAGGAGGCCCTCCATGGCTCCCACATCCAAGTTCCAAACTGGTAGCTCTCAAGCCAGGCTCAGATGTGGGTTTTGGTCTCAAATTGTTGGCTCCAAGAGCACTTTTCATATCATCGTCCCAAGCAGAATTTTATTATATTTCATCTTATATTTACTTATTTATATAGTCATCTTTATTTTAGGGAAATTAGAAGCCAAGTTCCTGGTTGAGATGGAGGATTAGTAGGATGGAGTTTTGAATGAGGGAATGGAAAAGCCTCTTTGAAGTGCGGTGGAGAAGCGGAGGCCATCCATGGGTGCTGGGAGCCAGCTGTGCTCGCAGTGCTGGGAGTTCAGCTGAGCGGAGAAGAAATTGACTGTGGGGAAGTTAGTGTGGTCTGGGCCACATGAATCTTCCTATAAGAACAAGCAAAACGGAACAGTCATTGGATTTGCCTAGGTCCGGGGCTTCTGTGTAGACGTAAATTTATACGACATTCACAGGGAGGTATTTCCTTTCTTCCTATTTTCCCATCCCACTAGTAGAAGTTATATAACCCACGGTACAGTGCTACTGGTGGGTCTGCAGAGAAACGTCATCTCTGTGTCCTGGTAACATTTTAAAAAAGAAGAGAGTATAAATGTAAAACCTTTCATTGTGCCCCCTATGTAAAGCCATGTAACCATGATTGTTATTTTTTTATATAACTTTGAGCGTAAAGCCATTTAATTTCTTGGGTTTTATGACATGAACAAAGCAGTACTCAAAATTCCCAGGCAGAATTTCAAACATAAGCTACATACCAACATTTAAAAAACCATGAAATTTCACATAAAACTATGGATTTCTGGCTTCTTTTGAGAAACTTTTGTATCTGGCACACACACTGGGGGGCTGCGTGTGGAGAGGGTTTAACCCCTCCTCACTGGACTGTCACTCACAGCCATCCTCATCACTGAGCTGAGAACAAGCTCTCCCCCCTTCATTGCACACACCGTCCACCTAAACCCATTGTCTGCATGTTCCTGTTGGCACCAAGGGTTGTGACGCCTGGTTTATGTCCTAGAAATCACCTGGGGGTTACCATGATATCTCAAGTAAAGTCTCAGTAATCAGAAGGATGGGTTTATTTTTAGGATGAGAAAAAACAATTAAATGGGGTAAACCAACTGCAGCTCATTTGGAAGAGACACCACTTATATGTCTGACTCAAAATGCAACAAATAGTTCTTACGCACAGCACATATTTACCACCAGATTTTCTCAGTTTGATATTCTTTATCTTCGAAAATATTGCAAACAGACAGTATGTCATCCCTGGGGAATAAAGATGAATCAGGTAGGGTTTCTGACTTGACTTTCATCAGATTCACTAACGACGATTTTGCATTGGAACCCTTGCTCCTGCATGGACTGTGGGAGGTCTGTTAGATTTTAGGAAAATTCTCCTCATTTCTTTGTGCATCATTTATTTTTTCCTCACCTGCAAAGCAGGAGCACATGTCTTACCAAGTGGTAGTAAGGATTGAAGATCATGTATATGTGAAGAGTCACACAGAGTCAGTGCCAAAGAAAAAACTGGTCATTTCTGCCCCTCCTGAATATTATTGTTGAGATAATTCCTGGAAAGCAGGTAATGGATCTTTATGGGAGGGGGCACTGATACATTTAGATCACCTCAAATTATTTTGAAATCTAAACACAGTGAGTAAAAGAGCACTGGTGTACAAACATATGAATTTAAAAAATACATAGATAAAGACGGTTTCACGGGGGACTGGGTTTAGGAAGATTACGGTAAAAGCAAATCAAGTGACCACAGACTTGAGCCACGGGGTGGGGGCCTGAGTGTCCTGGGGCCTCCTGGATGTGAGCTGCATCCTCTTCCCAGAATCTGGGGCAGGAATGTGTCCTCGGAAAGACTGTTGAATGAGAAGGCTGAAGGGTAGCTGGGAGTGGGGGCCAGAGAACACATGGAAATGAAGATCTCAGTGAAAAGTGTCTTTCTTCACATTTACTTTTTAAGGCTGACCTTGATTATCTTCCAGAGATATTGGCTAAAACCTTGTGATGGAGAAATATGGAATTCTTCTTACACTGGTTGCTGTACTCTTACAAACATCCTCCAAGGTAACCCTTTTGTATTTCAGCTCCCTCTTATTCCAGTTTATAGAACTGGACAGTGATAGATGGGATGGCAGAGTGACTGCGAAGGTCTCTAATCCTACAAGCGTCTCGATTTCCAAAGGGACAGGCTGCGCCTGATGGCGTGTCACGTTCCCACGCCTCTGCTCCTCCAAACGGTGCCGAGGTGCACGTCAATAACTCAATTACAAAATCTTTGGTCCTTGCTCTCTGTGAGGTCCAAAGTTTAGGAAAAACACATGTACTTTTGATATGTTTTACAAAGTTAGTTCTTTGAAAGTTGATTATGGGTAATAGGACTTAATGAGATGCCTCCTTTGGGGACCTGCATAAATAAGATCAAAGGCTCTGAGTCTGGACCGTGGTGCCCCTCCCGCAGCTGACCTAGGAGCACCAAATTCAACCTCCCAGGGCCTGCCTTAACCTCTTTGGAAGTCATTGAATCACCAGATGTGATATCATGAGTCTGGGCCCTGGGCCCACGTCCCTCACATGCAGCAGTGTCCGGAGAAAGGGCATGGGCTTTAGGGACAGCCCGGCCTGCGTTCACGTTTTGGATCTGCGACTGTGGATGGCTTTGGTTATTTTACCTCTTTTGTGAAATGTTTAACTTTCCTTCTAAAAAGTGAACTCCTTCAAGGAAGGGGCCCAGTTTTTGTATCTTTAAAGCTTTAGCTAATACAATAAACGGATGAGTTCCTGAATGATGGAGGAGTGAGCTGGGTATGGGGAGGCCAACCCTGATCGTTCCCGGCAGCCCACTGTGCAGCTGGTCACTGTGGGGATGCAGGACTCACATGCAGTCTCATTCACCTTTGCACAGACATCTTAATGCTGGCAACACCACATCTTTTACAAATCAGATTTGGTTTTAGACGGAATCAAGAACTTGCCAATAAAGGAGGTAAAGGAGGTGAAATTCAAGCCTGTGAATGTCTTGGGGGCTGGAGTTTTAGAAATGGCTGATCACGCCCAACACATAGTGACCCCTATGCTTTTCAATAATCAAAGATGAGAGAGCCTGAAAAGATCCCCAGGTTCTTGGAGGAAAATAAAAATGCTCCAAGAACGACCTAGACTGGAGCCTACAGATTAAGGTAAATTGGGGCACCTGGCCCAGTCCAAGTTGGTGAAATGAAGAAGAGAGAAGACAGATGCTGATAGCCAGATAACCGTACTGTGAATCCGCCCCCCTCAAAATAACATCAGCTTTCAATGCCTCGTCCACAGGGAGAAAGTATAGCTTTTCCTTTAGCTTGGTTTGTTATATCTGCTTTTATCTTGTCCTGTAGCAGGAATAGCATTTGTGGCTTTGCAGTAATATATTTACAATAAATGGCTCATGCCATTTTCAAATGTCTCAGCATCACAATGACATTTGGCCACCTGAAAATGACATTTATTGCTTTGTTGAGTCCAAAGTCGTGAGCCTCATCCTGATCTATTCTATGGACTTTCCGTCTTCATGAAGACTTCTGCTTTTTCTCCTCTATTGGAAATGTTTATTTTACTTCCCAGCAATAGGCAGGGAAGATCTCACTCGCAGGCTTATTTTAAGTTGCTTATTACTGTGTGTTCTGAAAGTTGTTTCCTTCCTCTTCCATGGGGCCGGCACCCACGCAGCAACATTTTACGGTTTATAGCAAGCGAGGGCACATGTACATTTTGGAACCAAACCTTTTGGAGTAAGTTTGTTTTGCTCTTGAGGCAAATTTCAAGCCGAATTTTTGTTTTCTTTTTTTTTTTTTTTTTTGGGACGGAGTCTTGCTCTGTCACCAGGCTGGAGTGCAATGGCATAATCTCTGCTCACTGAAACCTCTGCCTCCTGGGTTCAAGCGATTCTCCTGCCTCAGACTCCTGAAGAGGTGGGATTACAGGCGTGCATCACCACACCCAGCTAATTTTTGTATTTTTAGTAGAGATGGGGTTTCACCATGTTGGCCAGGATGGTCTCCATCTCTTAACCTCATGATCCGCCCGCCTTGGCCTCTCAAAGTGTTGAGATTACAGGCATGAGGCACCACGCCTGGCCTCAAGCTGAATTTTTAAAATGGCATGTATGTGAAAGCTACTTATTCATGTTGACAGTGAACACATTGCTGAAGAAAGACATTCATCTGGTACCTTGTATCATCAACACCACAACGCAAATGGTCATTTGGTCATAAAAGAAAAATTTCAAAAGTGAATCTTAAAGCACCACCTCCTGGATACAACCTTATCAGTGTAATTCCACTGTAAAACACACTTATCTCAAATGCACGACATCAAGTAATTGTTACTCAAACTGATGCAACTATGACCTGTAATGACGTGTGGTACACTGATGATGAGACTGTTGTCATTGGCATCAAAATCACGAAAATTTGTCTAAAACATTCTGAGTTGATAGATCGCTTGCTTTACCTCATCACAGAAGTATTTGTTCACGTCATTAATAATTGCTTACTAATAAGCTGAACTTCTCCCTGCTTGGGATGGGAGGTCTGCTTGGCAGAGCCGGACGCCTGAGCATGTGTCTGATTTTCCTTAAGTGATCTATGTGGTGAAGAGGGCTGTGGGGGACCATTGCAGACCCCACTGCACTAAGCCTGCTAGGTGATTTTTACCCAACAGTTCTCCTGGAGACCTGCTTAATATGTCCTTAAAGCCATTTAGTTCAGTGCCTGGGGGAGGAAAGTGGTCTTTATTCCCCAGCTCATACTTTGGGTACCTTATCCTCTCATTTTAGATTCACCCTCATCTTCACCAGCACACCCGCCCCTCACTTTGCCCTTTAGCTTCCCCAAGTTCGTGTACAGTGAAGCTGCTCCCTCCATCTTCTCAGAATCTGGACCTAGGGATTCCCGTAGTAGGTTTCTAGGAAAGGAAGACCAGGGCGCAGCACTGACAACCGGGATGGTTTTGCACGTCACCTGAGACCGTGAGAAATCATCAAGAGTCCTGCGGAGCCACCCTCAGTTGGTAGCTCATGGGCTATGAGTCTGGAAATTAAGGGAAAAAATGTTAGGACAAAAATAACAAAGCATAAGATCCTGGTGAAAATATTGAGCTTCCCAGAGGTTAAAAGCGTAGTCATTGCCACTGTGGTGAGAGAGTTATAAGGAGTGATGCTGATCGAAGTGGCCAATATTGGCGTTAATTCCCAAGTGGCTGATTCAGTTACTAGTGAAGAATCAGTTTATTCAGGTGGCCCTGTGACTTGAGGTTGGATAAGGGGCTTTTGTGTGGGGTGAGAAGCAGCAGCTAAAGCCCCTGCTGAGCACTCCATGTCTGCCACCTTATTTAATCCTGAAAACAATCCAACTTACAGATAGGCAAATGGAGAATGGCATCATTTGCCCAGCATAGCCCAAAAACTATGTAGGAGAGCCAGGCATGAAACCCAGGCATGACTTTAGAATGTGCTTCTTTCTCTTAACTATGCTGCTTCACCTGGAGTGGCGGCTGAGAAGGTTTGAGCATGGTCGCTATTAGCTAAAGAGACAGACGCTCTGGAAAGGAGCACACGATGTCATGTAATTATAAAACTAATAGGACTTGCCAGTGTTACTCATTCAATTCCCATGGCTTTTTGAAATGCATGCTTTTGCTATTCCCTATTTTATAGGTGTGAAAACTCAGGGAAGTAAATTAATCAAAGCCATGATGGGAGAGGCTCCTGCTCTGTGTGCTTGTGTGCTATGGATAGTAAGACGTGCACCATTTCCATTTTTCCAGAGAACTTCATCAGACAGAGTGGCTCGATGGTCACCAACTCCACCTCTTCATCTTTCTGAGCCCAGAGCAGTATTCAAAGGACCTCTTACAGTTAGGCATGACATAGGACTGAGGCCCTGTCTGCTTGATGTAGGGAGAAGGAATGTGTACCACTTCCAGGTTTGGGCCAACAAAACCCCCATGAGAAATGCCTCATATGCTATTCTGATCTGCTACTTTGGTGTAGTAGAGTTTGGTGAGTTGATAGCCACAAGTGGACAATGTAGAGGAAAAGAGGGAAAAAGCCTGGGTCCCTGAATCACTGCCTGGAGGGAAGCACCCTGCTAATTAAGAGCCCTTGCTTTGGACACGATATGAACAAGAAATACATTCCACAGTTGGGATCTGCTGAGATTTTGGAGTTTATTTATTATTGTGGCCATCTTCCTTTAACTAACACAGCTATACAGTCAGTCATCTGGGATTCGAACATAAGCTATCTAGATGCAGGCTTGTTCCCAACCACCTCACTGAAATAAGCAAAATGGAACAAACAGTACAGTCATGAGCTGGGTGTAAAAAAGAGAATGTAACCAGCAGACTATTGTAAAATCAAAGCATTATATTTTCTTTCAAGATTAGAAAACTTGTCACTAATAAAATAACAATAATGATTTATTCACAGTTTTAATTCTATGTGCTGAGAACTGAGCTTGACTGCGTTTGATCCCCCTAACACCATTTATAGTAAGTACCATGCTATCCCAGCTTTACAGATAAGGACACCAGTGCTTGGCAAGGCTAGGTAGTTAGGCCACGGTAATAAACTAATAGAATAAAGAGCCATTTGTAAAACCCTGATGCATTGATGGCAAATAATGTGAATACACGCAGGGACTTTCGGGGATATTTCTTTTCTTTCTTTTTTCTTTTCTTTCTTTATTATTGAGACTGAGTCTTGCTGTGTCGCCCAGGCTGGAATGCAGTGGCACAATTTCGGCTCACTGCAACCTCTGCCTCCTGGGTTCAAACAATTCTCCTGCCTCAGCCTCCTGAGTAGCTGGGATTACAGTTACATGTCACCACACCTGGCTAATTTTTGTGTTTCACCGTGGGGTTTCACCATGTTGGCCAGGCTGGCCTGGAACTCCTGACCTCATGATCCACCTGCCTTGGCCTCCGAAAGTGCTGGGATTACAGGCGTAAGCCTGGCCCGGCCTGGGGGATGTTTCTGACCGCAGCTGTTACTAGCCTCAGCCCAGGAAGGGTTTAATGTAGAATGGGCCAGGAGAGAACTCTGAGGAAGTGGGATCCACTCCAGACTGTGGCTAAAGAGAAAGAGGTCTGTAGCGAGGAAAGGCCTTGCCTGGGGCAGTCAGATGTGTGAGTGTTTGTGCATGTGCTTGTGTGTGTGTGTGCACATGGGTCTGTGTGAACAGTTATTGGACAAATCTGTAAAAAGTCTGTCCATAGTGCTGTTTAGTTTTTCAACTAATTTATTTTCTGAAGCTGTCATCTAAAAAGCAAAAGAAAACAAAACAAAAACAAAAAGAAAACTTCTTCCAGGATTGAAAGCCATGCATTCCCAAACTAAATTTATGAAAATCCCTAGAATAGGACGTTAATAGAGTCTACTCCACAGCTATCATCTTGATAGGAATAGGAACTAAACTCCTAACTGAAGAGGAAATGTGTTTGCTTTGGATATTTCTAAATGAAATATATCATTATGGCTCTGGGTGAGAGCCTTAGGCTAAGTGCTAAGAAGGTAGGGAGCTTAACCTAAATCTCCCTTGTCCACATGGCACTCACAGGTCAGTGAAGCACACGCTTTATATAAAGATGACGCAGTCGCATGAGGAAGGGATGTCCTGGCTGCAGCCATCTGCAACTGTTAATACGTTCATCCACGAGGTGTCCTTATTCATGTGTTGCTGTCTTAATAACATAACAGATATTTTAGAGGTGAAAGCTAATAGACATACACTGTTTAATCATCTTTTTTACAAAAATGTTTTATTTAAAAATAGACATGTGGTCTTGCTATGTTGCCAAGGCTGGTCTCAACCTCCTGGGTTCAAGAGATCCTCCCACCACCCCCTCCCAAAGTGCTGGGATTACAGGTGTGAGCCACCACACCCATCCAGTCTCTTTTTCATTTTTATGTTTTTGAGACGGATTCTCCCTCTGGCACCCAGGCTGAAGTTTAGTGGCATGATCTCAGCTCACTGCAGCCTGCGCCTCCTGGGTTCAAGTGATTCTCCTGCCTCAGCCTCTCAAGTAGCTGGGATTACAGTTGTGTGCCACCACACCTGGCTAATTTTTGTATTTTTAGTAGGGATGGGGTTTCACCATGTTGGCCAGGCTGGTCTAGAACTCCTGACCTCAAGTGATCCCACCGCCTCAGCCTCCCAAAGTGTTGGGATTACAGGCTGGGAGCCACCGCACCCAGCCAATTATTATTATTAGTAGTAGTAGTAGTAGTAGACGAGAAAATAGAGGAAGCCCTAGAAACCAGCCAAGGTCATTTTATCTTACAGACAAAATTATGAATGAAAGCTGGAGTCCACACACACTCACACTCACACGCACATCCACAACTCTTCCTAAAGAAAATTGGAAAGGAAGATCTCTAAACCCAGCAACTCTAGATGAGATAGAAATGGAACCAAAGAGAAAAATAAAACAAGACCATCTACGTTAATGGTCAGCGTCCATTCCTCCTTCTCTCCATGTCATTTCCCACACCAATCATTCTTTGTGATACTAATTCCTCACACTGCCTCAGTGAATGAAGGTAATAGATGAAAATACTCGCCAACAGGAAGAGAGAGGAGCTCATGGCTTGGCAGCATGTATCTGTAAAAGGCAATAACCAGAACAAAGAGTCGGTCTCCTAGATCTTCAAGGAGAGGCTTTGAATAATGTATGTGACTCTACCATGAAAGTCAAAAAGGAGTGTTATGCAGGCCCTAGCAGGGGGCGCTTACCATGCATTTTCTGCCTGGTGGCCTGATAGGGAGGAAGGAATCCCTTACCTCACAGGAGTGTCACTCATGTAAAACATGGCAAAAATCCTAAGCAGCACACATGCTTATCTAAGTAAATTATTTATTTAAATCATAAGGAAAGAAAGAGGTCACAACTGAGTCAACTCAATTTCATAAATTCTAGAATCTATGATTCTAGATCTGATCTAGATCTAACCCAGATCTAGATCTAGAATCCAGATCTGAAACATACCTTTGGGCTTTCAGAAAACATTAGAATGCAAGCAAGCAAGCAAACAAAACACACCAATTGATCGATAAACTAATTATGGATAAAAAGCCTGGCAAGGGGTGGTTGGTGGAAAGATTCTAGACCTGGTGGAATTGCAGGCAACCCAGAAGTTCTCTCTTCAGAGGGGAGGAAACCTCTGGTTGGACCCCAATGGCTCCCAGGGGTGCATTTGTTCCTTATCCTAAAATAGCAGAGAGATGAATTATGAAAAATAAGAATACCTGAAACCAGATAGGGAGTACAACGTCCGAAGACAGCCTGAAACCAGATAGGGAGTTCAACATCCGAAGACAGCCTGAAACCAGATAGGGAGTACAACATCCGAAGACAGCCTGAAACCAGATAGGGAGTACAACATCCGAAGACAGCCTGAAACCAGATAGGGAGTACAACGTCCGAAGACAGCCTGAAACCAGATAGGGAGTACAACGTCCGAAGACAGCCTGAAACCAGATAGGGAGTACAACGTCCGAAGACAGTCTACATGTGCACATAGACACTAAGAAATCTTATTTATATGTGTTAGAATTAAATGGCCTGTGGGCTGCAGGGGACCTGGATGGGCAGGACCTGGCCTAGGGCTGCCCAGCAGACCCTGCACAATGGTGGACACCCCTGTGCTGTCCCACGTGGCAGCCAACAGCAGCTTATCCTTGAGCACTGGGAGTGTGGCCAGTGTGATGGCGGGGGGCTGGATTTCAAATCATATTTAATTTGAATTTTTAAAATATAAATAGTAGACACAGGGAGCTGGTGGCTACTATATCAGAGAGCATAGATACAGACTAATTCGACTATATTTATTTTTAATTGAAAACACAAATGTCACAATTAATTAATATGTATCATGAACCTGTGGTGTACGAAGTGCTCCAGAAAGCGCTTGCCTCACAATACTGCTGTTCTGTGGTGGTGAAGAGCTGAAATCCACACATTCTTCAAGCTTTCCTTCCGTATTTCTGTCTGTCCTGATGCTCTAGAACCTCCAAGCTCTAGAACCAAAACAAAGGCAGGGTATTGTCATGGATGACGTTTAGGGAGATTGGCAGGAAGTAGAAAATCATTTGCAGAGCTAGCTTGATTTAAATTTGAGGTATCTGTGGCGACCCAAATAATGTGCATGTAGACATTAAGAAATCTTATTTATATGTGTTAGAATTCAGTAACGCAATGCATCCTGCACTGCAGGTACTTCTTTACTTGAAAATAATCACTTTTATATTTTCTGTTCATAAGATACAATTCATGTTCTTTCCCTCCTTTCCTGTCCTTCCTGCCTTACTTCCTTTCTTTCCTCTCTTCTTTCTCTTTCTTTTTCCTTCCTTCCTTCCTTGCTTCCTTCCTTCTTTTCTTTCTCCCTCTCTCCTTCCTCCCTCCCTCTCTCTCTCTTTTCTCTCCCTTTGTCCTTCCCTTCCCCCTCTCCCTTCGTCCTTCCCTTCCCCCTCTCCCTTCCCTCCTCCTTCCCTTCCCTCCCATCCCTTGCCCTCTCTTCCCCTCCTCATCCCCCTTTTCCTCCCCTCCTCTCCCCTTCCTTTCCTTTCTCCCTCCTCCATTCCCCCCCACCCTTTCCACACCTCTCCTCCCCTTCCCTCCCCTCCCCCTCCTCTTCTCTACCCCCTACTCCTTCTCCCCCTCCCCTTCCCTCCCCTCCCCTTCACCGTCCTCCCTCTTCCTCTTTCTTTCCTTTCTTTTCTTTATTTCTTTCTTTACCTTCTACCCCTCTTCCTTCCTTCTCCTCCCCACTTTGTCCTGCTCTCCATTACCCTTCCTCTCTCCTCCCTCCCTCCCCCTCTCCCTCCCTCCCTTCCTGCTTCCCTAGGCTATGTTTGGGGTATGGAAGTCATACCTGTGGACATTGCTTAAAAACTTTGCACTGGATAATTTATTTTTGCTTTCATGAGACAATATTGAAAAACGGTTTCAAGAGGCAGCTTCACCAACAAGAATGGTTTTGGCTCCCGTGCTTTGGTGCATTTGGCATCGTGGTTAGAAATGCTGTGCTTGACAGGGACACGCCAGCTACCTGATGTGGACGTGGTAACAGCAGACCGTGGGCGGGTGTGAGGCAGGACTTTCCCTCCACTTCCCCAGCAGCTTAGACTATTTGGTCTCCAGCACACGCGCTCACAAGTGACTTGGCAAAGCTTACCTTTTGCCATACATGTGACTTTCTGGAGTGGCTTCTTCCTCTCTGTTCACAGGAGCTTGGGAAGCCACTTTGGGGCATCCCAGGGGGTGGGAATGGCGTCCTATCCCTGGGTCATGTCAGGTGGGGCCCTGCCCAGGGACTCCCTTCTCTAACCCCGAGGCTTTCCTTCCACTCTCTTGGCCTCGTCCCAGGGTCTTGGCTGCCAGAACTGAAGACGTGATGGTGCCTGATGTTAGCAGACGTTGAACATTTGACAGAAACGTTCTTGTAGGGGGAGGAGTGAAACAGAGAGCTAATAGGAAAAACAGTTTAATAAATGAATAAGTGAGGTTTAGGACCAGAATTAGAATCGGTTTCTGAGTCAGCCTCAGGATTAGAGCTGGGAGAGAGACTGTCACAACATAGCACATCACTGGTTTTGGTGATTTTATTTTCTGTCATTCCTAATAATAAAACTGCTACAGACCAAACACTCACTGAGCCTAAGCCGCCAGCAGCTGCAGTTACTGCAACAGGATTTCTGCTATTTAGAAACACTTCACTACATTTCTTTAGAAATTTTGATAAAGGTGGGCCTACATTGACCACACGAAGACCTTTGTGGTATTCAAAGTAACGTGACATACTAAAGCCAATGACTTACTTATTTAATGTAGTGACACACGGTTTATACTAATAATCTACTAATTACTAAACTTTAATTAGTACACTGTCTATCTTTTTTATATAAATATATATCTTGTGGTTTCATGTCGTCATGTCTGGCCCAAAGTCAACATACTCATATGTGTTGAATGATAAGGGTTTTAATTTATTATCATTATTATTGCCAAACAAATTGTCTATCTTTGTCATTGGCCTTTATAGGCACATGATTCTTCCTTTACAACTTTGTTTTTTGGTTTATAAAAATATTGTTTCTTACGTTTTAATACCTTGGAGCATGTGAAACCAAAAGAGGATTTAATTAAGACCAATTTGTTCTCCATGTGTGATGTCGTTGATGTATTCTTCTTAAAGTTATGTGAGATGCATGGGACAGACACAAGGAGCCCCATTCAGCAGCAAGACATAAACAGATTTGGTAGTTTCCTAAAGGTGCATCCCTCGCTGGTGGCAGATCTGGGTGTGAATGCGTCCTCGGTGAAGCTGGGTCGGCTCCTGGGAAGCTTAGCAACTCAGACACAAAGGTCAGAGCCTATTCCTTCACCACTGCACATTGTCTAAGAGGAGGTTGCAATGCATGCCATAGTCTAAAGACTTAAATGTTCAGAAGTCCTGTCTGAAGAAGGATAGAATCATCTTGCCTGCCCCAAATCTTTATCTTTAAAAATCACACTTCTATCTTCAGAGTTACCGGATGGCCTCAATTGAATTATGATGATCAGATTTTAGGACATGAACTAACAACAAATTTTCTAAAATGTATAAAATGCACCTATTATGCATAGGTCTAGAGATCACTAGAATGTTAGCAGGAAAGCTGCAGTTTTACCTGTATGGGCTAATTGCTGCATTTAATTTCATTAGCCAGTGGCGTGAATAACAACTTGTTTTGGCTTCAAACGTTTTGGTCCTAGATGAAAGAAAGTCATGCATTTCCCATCGGTATCATAGTAGAGTACAATTTATGTTTGCATGGCATATGATACTTTCACAATATTATTTATTTTTCTAAAAAAAATACATGCTTGGCTATTTCAATAGGGCATGATGTCCTTACATAGTTGTGCCTGTGTTGCTATGGCCCTGACAGCATCACTCAGGGTTGTTGTGCGGAGCTGTATACTCTGAGTTGTCACGTGGGCATTAGAAACACTGCATGCACACACCCACTCAGCACGCAGGCCTTCTTTCAAATTAAGTAGAAGGTAGTCTGCAGTGAGGAAACATAGTTTGTCTGTGTATAGAACTAGAGAGCTGAGGCCGGGCATGGTGGCTCATGCCTCTAATCCCAGCACTTTGGGAGGTCCAGGTGGGAGGATCACCTGAGGTCAGGAGTTCAAGACCAGCCTGGCTAACATTGTGAAACCCCATCTCTGCTAAAAATACGAAAATTAGCCGAGCATGGTGGCACATGCCTGTGATCCCAGCTGCTCGGGAGGCAGAGGTACGAGAATTGCTTGAACCTGGGAGACGGAGGCTGCAGTGAGCTGAGGTTGTGCCACCACACTCCAGCCTGGGCAACAGAGCAAGACTCTGTCAAAAAATAAATAAATAAATAATAAAATAAAATCACTAGAGAGCTGAAATGAAATAGAGACAAATATGATAGTCGGGTTTCTATGAAACATATTTATAAAATTAAAAGTAAGTGAAGGTAGTCAGGATAGGCCTCCTGGAGAAGCAGATATCAGTGGTGCTTGGAAAAACATCATGGAATGTATCAGGCCTTTAGGTCCGCCATGTTCTCAATGTTTGTGCCTCTTCCAAATTCACAGGTTGAAGCTTAACCTCCAATATGGGAGTGCTGGCCGGGGGAGGGCTTTAGGATGTGATTCAGTCATGAGAGTGAAATCCTCATGAATGGGATTAGTGCCCTCATAAAGGAGTCCCCAAAGAAAAATCATTTGCCCCTTCTACCAGGCGAGGACACAGAGAGAAGGCATGGTCTATGAGCCAGGAAGCGAGGCCTCCCCAGATATGAGTCTGCTGGTGCCGTGATGTGGACGTCCGGCCTCCAGAACAGTGAGACATCAGTGTCTGCTGTTGATAAGCCACCCAGCTGTGGTATTTTGTTACAGCAGCCCAAAGAGACTAAGACCACAGCAAATGGAAGGAGAGGCTCCTCAGTGTGTAAAGCTTTGTCACTTTTGGGGGGTGATTAGTGAGACAGAATGACTGGACGAATCTCACTTCGGTCACAGTGAAGCATCCTGCCCTTGGCACTCGGTTGCAGGGCCAGAGTCTGTCTGCAGCCTCTAGTCGGGACTGGGATTCCCAGGGGCTTCTTCGAGCTTTGGCCTCCCATTGGTCACTGGAGAATGAGTGGCCCAGAGCCTCACACTATTTGACTGTGGGACAGCTGAGGTACAGATGCGTTTTCCTTGGAGAGTTGTAAAGAATTTTAAAATCAATAGTTAAGCATTGAAAAGTCCCAACTTGAGCTTCTCTCAACAAAACGTAATTTTCTAGACACTGAGCGTTCTTCTTCCGTGGCCACCAAGCTCGAACTGGGAAGGGCCGGTGTCCCTAGGACCCATGACTGGTATCCAACATTCATACCCCAGGTGAGTTACTGCTGATCATCATGAAGCAGGATTCATTTTGTGACCATAAAAATATTTTTAGGAATGTATGTCTATCCAACCTGATAAAATGCAATACAGATACAGAGGGACATTTGCTTTCTCCCGAACTCACTTATGCTGTCGGTCTGGCTGCTGAAGTCATCTGAGTTTATGGTGAAGACCCACAGTCTCTAAGGGAAAGAGCCAAATTCATTGCTCTGCTCCAGGAATTCCCCTCACTGCCAAGCCATAATGCCTGGGCTCACTTTGCCCTAAGCACACAGGTCTCCTTGTGGTCTTCAGGCCCTCCAAAAAGGTTCCACCTTCAGGGTCTTCTCCTGCGACGTGAGTGCCAATAATCCTATCTGGCAGGAAGCGTAACCTTCCCCTTTGCATCCAATAACAGAGCTGTCTATTTATGTGAACCTTGCTTTGTTATCCAAACCCTGATTATTTTCAGATCAACTCGTGGTAATTTTATTTCCACTTCACTCTCAGGAAACGTTACTGTTCAGAGCATTTCTACTCAAAGGCGTTCTCAGTAAACAACCTAGAATGTTTTGTTTGATTGTTTTGCGTTCATTTTTTAAATCTCGAGAATATCAGTCTTGTTCAGCAGCCTTGAAAATCACAGCCCCTTGAATAGTAGTTTATTTATGAGGTTAGAATGAAACTTTGACTCTCTGGCAATTTGATGGGATAGATGTCAAAAGCCTACTAGACTGTGAGATTCTCTATGTCAGGGCCTGGAATTTGATGCTTTTGCTGCCACCAAATAGATGAAAGGGGGATAGAATTATTCAGTAGGATTATTTGATTGAATGACCCCAACCTCATAGGGAGGATCTTCTTAGGAAGCAACTGCGCAGCAGAGGCTAAGAAACGGGGGGTTGACATCCTCAGAGCCCACACAGAAAGGGGTGAAAGCCTGCAGGGGGTGGCCTCATCCCTGGTGAATGGGTGGCCTCATCCCTGGTGAATGGGTGGCCTCATCCCTGGTGAATGGGTCGCCTGTTTGCTGGTCACATGGGACAGTGTCCACCACACCGGGGCTTCCTCAACACTGAACACCCTCAGGTCTACTAACTGCAAGGCTTGTGAATCACGAGAGCTTTGGGATTTTAAAACTTAGTCACAAGTCTCTTGATGTAAGCGATGTTTTCTATTATAATCTCAAGACACACATGAAGTGGTACACTAATAGAGAGAGTCACAAGACAGTCACATTTACTTGGTAAACCTCCAAAGATAGTTGGAAGGAAATCTGAAGATACAATGCAGAACAATGTTCCCTTTTTGCATTTGAGACTATTCATGTTATTGAAATACAGATCAAACAGTGATTTCAGAATTGTGATGATCTAGTCAAAATGCCAGGAGGTTGGACTGTGGAAACTGTGGTCTGTGGGTAATGAGATGACAGAAATGATTTTTAAATCTGCTGTTTTTTTTTTTTTTTATTCCCCAACAGCTAATTTGGTGATAGAACTCAATTGCATTTTCATTTATTTTTAGGTATGTGGGGAATTTTTACATTTTACGTATTTTTTTTGAAAAAAATATGCTTTTATATCAGTTGCTTTTTCATCAGTGGGGGAAATTTTGCCCCCCCCAGGAGGTATTTGGAAATGTTTAGTGATATTTTTGGTGTCAGAACTGGGAAAAGGATGCTTCTGGCATCACGCAGGTGGAGGCCAGGGATAGAGTATCTGACAGTGCACAGATAATCCCCCCCAAGGAGAAATCTCCTGGTTGCAAATGATGCCAGTAGTGCTGGCATTAAAAAATCCTGACATGCATGTGAGTGTGTGTGTGTGTATTACATGATGTGCATATATATATGTACAATATACATCTGTAACTAATGCATATACATACATATAGCATATATATGAAATCATGTATGTGATATTACATGTATTCATATGCATGTATATCTGTGTGTACAGTATACATATATAACTCATGTATATACATACATATGTATATTTGGAAGAGGGAGGGAGATTGGAAGCCCCGTTCTTCAACTGTCCATGGGTCCACAAGCAAGTGCTAAATTTTATTTCCTGAGAAATTAAAACATCCTAAGTTCCAAAATAGCGGGAATTAAGAATAGAAAAAATACAATGTGCACTTCAAATTTTTTTTTTGAGATGGAATTTTGGTCTTGTTGCCCAGTCTGGAGTGCAGTGGCGCGATCTCAGCTCGCTGCAACCTCCACCTCCCGGGTTCAAGGGATTCTCCTGCCTCAGCTTCCTGAGTAGCTGGGATTTCAATTTTTTTAAAAATTAATTCAACAAAAGCCCAGACAAGAGAACTTTAAAAAGTACGAGGCAAGGGCCCGCGATCGGAATCTCAGAACCCTCCCTGGCTGCTTCACCCACCACCTGTTCTGGGAACTCTCACCTTCTGAGCCTGGGATGCTTCCCTTTTAGAATGAGGCAAGTAATGAGCATCAAATTGAAAAAAAAGTGGGCAGTCACTTCCTAAACCCCAATGTACTTTAGAAAGAAAATATTCAAATAATCAGGGAGTGACGAAAGTTCAAGGAAAAGGGCTTAGGAGGGAATCAGAAGACTAATAATTTTACCGAAGAGTGAGAAAATTTGAGATTTTTTTTTCTATTTATTCATGTATTTATTTATTTTCTGAGACATGGCTCACTCTGTCACCCAGGCTGGAGTGCAGTAGTGCGATTAGGGCCCACCGCAGCCTTAACCTCTTGGCCTCAGGCGATCTTTCCATCTTGGCCTCCTGAGAAGCTGCAACTACAGGTATGTGCTACCATGCCTGATTAATTATTATTTTTTAAAATTTTTAGAGATGGCTGGTGTTGAACTCCTGGGCTTAAACAATTCTCCTGCCTCGGCCTCCCAACATGCTGGGATTACAGGCCTGATTTTTTTTTTTCTACAGTTGTTGCTGAAAGACTCTTGAACTCCCTTTTAATTTTTCAGAAACAGTTTCAAGAAAGAAAATTTATTTCTAGGAATAATCTTTTAAAACCTTTGCCTTTATTACTATGTTTGTTTCTGGTTCCTTTAATTTTGGCGGGACCATTTATCTGCCTGGAGCTGCCTTATTCTAGGGACCTGCAGTGGTGCTCCCCAACTTAGAACAGATGTTCCTTCATGAATTCGAAAGCAGGTAGGGGTGATCTCAGAATGGGTTTATGGGCCAGGCACAGTGGCTCACGCCTGTAATCCCAGCACTTTGGGAGGCCAAGGTGAGTGGATCACCTGAGGTCAGGATTTCGAGACCAGCCTGGCCAACATGGTAAAACCCCGTCTCTACTAAAAATACAAAAATTATCTGGGTGTGGTGGCGGGTGCCTGTAATCCCAGCTACTCGGGAAGTTGAGGCAGGAGAATCGCTTGAACCCAGAAGCAGGAGGTTGCAGTGAGCTGAGATGGTGCCACTGCACTCCACTCTGGAGTGCTCCATCTCAAAAACTCTGTCTCAAAAAAAGCAAAAACAAAAACAAAACAAAACAAAACAAAATGCGTTGTGATTGAAAAGTAAGGAAACTTGACAACAGTAATTTAATGTGCCAGTTTCCCTCCTTCCATCTCAAGAGAAAACATATCATCAAGAGTTACTATCACAAATGCTCGCAATCATTTATACTATCGCAAATCCTCACAATCATTTAAAAATAAAGTTGGAAATGGCATTCTAACACAATCCAGGCTTCCTCATTAGCACAGTCACTTGGTTTACCGCTGTGGTTGTATGCAGTCTGTGCACACCACGGGGCTCTGCACATATGCTCACACCAGAGCCTGTGCTCTGAGGTGCAACTTTCAGAGTAGAAACTCACATTGCCATAGTGCTTAAGCCCTCCCTTTTCTCCACATCCTCACCAACACCTGTTATTTTCTTTTCTTTTTTTTTTTAATAACAGCCATTCTGACTGGTGTCATACGACATCTCATTGTGGTTTTAGTTTGCATTTATCTGATAATTGGTGATGCTGAACATTTTTTCATATGCTTTTTGGTCATTTGTGTGTCTTCTCTTAAAAAACGTCCGTCCACGTCCATTGCCCACTTTTCAATGGGATTATTTTGTTGTTGTTGTTGAGTTGTTTGAGTTCCTTGTAAATTCTGGATATTAGTGCCCTATTAGATGCATAGAGTACAAGTATTGTCTCCCATTCTGCAGGTTGTCTGTTCACTCTGCTGATTATTTATTTTGCTGAACAGAAGTTTTTTATCTATTTTTGGTTTTGTTGCCTGTGCTTTTGAGGTCTTACTCATAAATTCTTTCCCTAGACCAATGTCCAAGAGAGTTTTCCCTAGCTTTTCTTCTAGTATTTTTATAGCTTGAAGTCTTACATATAAATCTTTAATCCATCCTGAGTCAATTTTCATAGAGGGAAAGTTTCAGGGACCAATTAAGTCATAGGATGGAACCGAGAAGACTGTCTGCAGAACCACTAAATGGGAGAGAAGGTGAAGAAAGCAATAGCCCAGAGTGAAACCAAACATAGAAGGAACTGATTGAAGGTGAGAAGAGAAAATGGAGCCCATATTGAAAGGGTAGTAGCTCAGGTGGTCTCAGCAGTGAGAGAGGATGAGAGATTTGAACTGGTGCCACTGAAGTTAGGATGACTGAGGCCAAGTCTGAGCACCAGAGTTTTAAATTTGTGTACCTGCGGATTTTTGCCAGATAAGGCCAGATTCCCAAAGGAAACAAGGTGCCTGGACATTGACTTGGTCTAACGTTCATTCTCCAATGACCTATTGGCGAACACCCAAAGGGTAAAGGAAGAAATGGGAAGATGATTTTTCTAACAGTGGACAATTAGAGACAAGTACACAGTCACAAACCTGAACATGTTGGCCATTTACATTTTTGCTATATCTTTAGATATTTACTTAACTTAAAATTGTTTCTGATGATCAGTCAGAAAGGGAATAAATAAAAGACAATCTTTACTTCCTCTAACTTGTCAATTCCTTGAATTTGTTATTATTCCATCTAGGCCTAGATAAATAATACCTGTAATCAGAATGTTTCCTTTGGGGTAATTTCAAAAATTCCATAAAAATAGAGCAATTGTAACACAGCTCAAAAACACTGAAAGTTTCTTAAATTGGCATCAGTATCCAAGTGTTTGACAAACTGAATTTTCTTCCTGCTTTGGACCGGAAAGTTGGGTGGTCTATGAAGACCCTGTCATTTTCCGTGAACGTTAGGAACAACCATTCAATTTTCTGCTTTCTCTTAAATGTGATTTGTGGCTGTCTCTTTACTATATACCTCAGTGAAATCAAATAACCCTAATTTAGATAAATATACTAGCCTAGACCATGATTTTCACTGGAACTGAAGATAGACTATTCTATATTATTATTTGAAGATGTGAAACGGCACATGTAAACAAAATGTGCATCCTAAGTGTTGCACAGTGAGAAACGACACTGTATTCACAGCAGAGGACATTCTGGTTTCCCGGTAAAAAGACTGCATTTTAAGGACTCGAGTCACACAGAGTCTGCTGCTTGCATAAATTTTTCAGTACCCAAATGGTGGTAAAAAAGGAATAATCTGGACATTTACAAGGTGGCTCTGGACATTTCTTATTTAACTAGATTTTCTTTTCTTACAGCCTAGGAATAGGAAAGTTAATTGCGTTCTAAACTGGGCTGTATTCCAGTGGGGTGAGAGGTCATGACTTCTCTAACATTTGTCATATAAACCACAGAAAAGGATACACTAGGCCAGGCGAGATGGCTCACGCCTGTAATCCCAGCCAGGAAAAGCAGATTATTTGAGACCAAGAGTTCGAGACCAGCCTGACCAATGTGGTGAAACCCTATCTCTACTAAAAATACAAAAGTTAGCCGAGCGTGGTGGCACATACCTGTAATCCCAGCTACTCGGGAGGCTGAGGCGGGAGAATCACTTGAACCCAGGAGGCGAAGGTTGCAGTGAGCCAAGATCTCACCACAGCACTCCAGTCCAGATGACAAAACGAGACTCTGTTTCCAAAAAAAAAAAAAAAAAAAAAAAAAGGAAAGCGTACCCTGAGATAGCTTTATTATTAGAGGATATAGTGGGAAATGGACTAATTTCTATAGGTTTGGAACAAATTAAAATAAGAGCACTTCTTTTGGCAGATAAAAGTAAGCCAAAGTTTCAGGTAATGATGATATAATATAAAAGCGCCTTCTAAAATGGAAAGTCTTTACCGGCAAGATAAAACATAAAGTGTTTTTTATTCGTTGAAATTGTTTTTCTCTATTATTGGACAATGAACAACCTGTGCTTTGGAGAATCTTTTGTTGGTAGATAGAGAAGACTAGTGCTCAGGAGGTTTTATTGGAGAGATCCAGGAAACCATTTCCTCTATATGACAATGTGCCCCTATCACAAATGCCTCAAAATCCACAGCTGGAAATATTCAAGCCAGCAAACAGCTAGTGAATGGCACAGCTGCACACTGAGGTAGGACTCTGCATGTCCTCTCTCAGCAGCCACCAAGACTAGAACGGACGCTCACTAGACAGCCCACAGGGGAGAGCTGCCATCTCAGCTGCAGAGCTCTCTCAGGACAACACACTGAGCTGCAGCTTCTAATGAGCAAATCGATGGCTTTCCTGACAAAACTGGACAGACGTCTTATGGGGGACGGTGAAGGGGTCCAGTGTCGTCGGCCACAAGAGATTGTTTCCACAGTCTCCTGCTTTATCCTAATATTTCTGCCAAACTTGCATTCTAACTAATAATATAACTTTTTAATTATTAAAAATGTATATATTCTCTAAAACCTCAAGTAAATTTGATTCTCAGAGATGAGATATATCTCTTTTTTTCCACAGTTACATTTCTTTTTTTAAAAGGAAACCCATTACCCCTTGATTTTCCAAAATTATCATGATGAAATCGAAATCTATAAATGTATAGGTGCTAAGTGAACGTGTATATGTACAATCTCCAAAGAAAAAAATAAAGTTCTTAAAGGACTGAAATAAGCAAAGCATGTTCTTAGTTTCCTGCCTGTTCCATTCTGAACCGAAAACCCCAGTCAACTTCTTTTCTTACGAATTTCGCTGAATCTGGCTTGAATGGACATTTCTCTTCTGAATGAAGACTTCGACGGTGGATGAGTCAGCATTTCATGTGACTAATTGAATGCCACTTAGCAGACACGGGGGTTCAGAATAACAATGTCTCGCAATCAGCGCGCTACTCCAAACTCAAAATCCATTTCGGAGAGCAAGTTGTACGCGCGCGACACTCAGCAGGCAGAGAAACCATCAGCCGCCATCACCACCGGCACATCGTCTGCTTCCTAATTACACCTTAATTAGATCAGGGATAATCACCTTGATTTCTATTATTATTGCTGAATCTTAGAATCATAATGTTAGAAGGAAATTTCATGCTCATCAATTTTAACATCCTTATTCAGAGAAGGTAAGAGAGACCAGGGAGTTTAAGTGACCTGTCCAAGTTAAGATTGCACAGATATTTATTAATACGACTTAAATTAATTAGATCCCTAAATAATGAATGTACTTAATTGGGAACCAGCATTTTGACTGTAGACTATCCACAAGCACCTATGTATTGGCCTGTGCAGAGGGAACACCAGCGATTTTCTGTTTTTCTGGCATGCTCCCATCATGCACCGTCTGGTCCCTCAAATTGCTATTTATGCGCTTCTTTCTATTTTAATCCTGCGCACTTCTATTGCAGGGTAGGCTCAGCGAACAGCCGTGCCTCTATTGCATGTTTTACTCTCGGAGTCTCTGTGCAGCGCCTTAACCCTGATGGAAACTTAAGAATCCTGCGTTCAATGAATAGTGAACTCTGTGGTTGTGACATCAGCTCTGGGTCCCAGTCTACATTCCGTGGCAGCCTGGCTCCAACATCCCAGGGAATTGTGTCACTCCCATTGAGCAGCTGTGGGGCCCTCTCCCACATGGCCCAGGTCCACCACTCTGTCAAAGGTCGCACAGCCCAGACAAAAACAGGACACAGCAGTGTGTGAATGAGCCGGGCTTTCTCCTTCCCTCCACGTAATAGAAGGTGCCTGAGGTTGTTGAAACACAGTCCATTTCTCCTGGGAATGACAAGAATTTGAGGGATGCTGACTTTCAAGGAATACTGCATGACAGGCATCAAGATAAACCTGATGAAGAAAACATAGGCCAGAATCTGGGAATCGGGAGCAAAGTAATACAGCTTCGGGGACAGGCACGTAATGAGGTCATGATGTAGGAGACTCCCTGCAGGACTGGCGGCCCCTGTTCCCTGGGTTGTTCTGGCTCTTTCAGGTGAGAGAGAAGGATACAGACAGGAAATGGCACTTCCTAGAAGGGCAACCCTCTGTTCCTGGGGTGTGTGGCATCTTCCAGCGTTGGGTCTGAGGTTCTAGGTAAGCCTTTACCTCAAAGACAGCCACATATTGCTTTCTCAGTGAGGCCTCCCACGAGGCTGAGAACTGCAATGATTTTTGCAAATATGTCAGTCATTTGGATGGTATTTTAACAGGCTGTTAGTGGAGGGTAGGTAAACCAATGTCTAAATGAAAAGGGAAACTCTTGCTGCTATTTTTAAAGAGATGTTTCCTGAACAGATTCTGCCCGGCTTGCCCAGGAGGGCTAGCCTGGATCCACGCTCCTCAACCTGCTCCTCCTCAGTAAAAATGTTGAGAGAGGTGTATTTTTTTTATGATTGGCCATATGGCTCTATTAAGTTCAGAATCAAAGATATATTTTTTGACTTATCCATAAGAAGCATAAGAAATTTAAATAGGGGCCAGGCGCGTTGGCTCACGCCTGTAATCCCAGCACTTTGGGAGGCCGAGGCGGGCGGATCACGAGGTCAGGAGATCGAGACCATCCTGGCTAACACGGTGAAACGCCATCTCTACTAAAAATATAAAAAATTAGCCAGGTGTGGTGGCGAGCGCCTGTGGTCCCAGCTATTTGGGAGGCTGAGGCAGGAGGAGAATGGTGTGAACCCGGGAAGCGGAGCTTGCAGTGAGCCGAGATCAGGCCACTGCACTCCAGCCTGGGTGACAGAGCGAGACTCCGTCTCAAAAAAATAAAATAAAATAAAATAAAATAAAATAAAATAAAATAAAATAAAATAAAATAAGAAATTTAAATAATACTTAGGTGTTTTAGGTTAAGACTCTGTCCATTTTGCATAAAAAAGGTTCACCTGAGTGTTTTATTGTAGGTAAAATCTTTTTTTTCAGTAGCAAAATATTTAACGGGGTGGGACAATATTATCATGGATTTCTTTTGTTTAATCTGAAAACATAGTTTCACCCTTGCTACCATGATACTTCAGTCCATGCTAGATAGTTAGAAATGGCCAGTGCAGAAACATCTTCTCAGGATGCCTTTGGCTTGAGATCTCTCCAGTGAGTCAGTTTTCATGCTGATCATTTTCAACTTTCTCTTTCTCATCTAATTAGTTTTACTCAAACATTAATATCAATCCTAGCCACTAGACAAACACAATTTGGTACAATGTAGACCTTGATGATTGAAAATATATTAATTTCTCAAATGTTGAGCTCTCCTTGGTTATTAGGATTCAATTCATTAAGCTGGCAGCCACCTCCATAGGCTTTCTGAATGGACTAGCCACGAGATAACATGTGCGTCCTGAGGTAGGAGATGGGGAGACATTGGGGTAGTTACAGAAAAGAGGTCAGCTACCTTCAACAGATGCATCCAGACTTTCAACAGCAAGTTAACTCACTCTGGGACATACCAAGAGCCTTTGAGGGGCTGCAGAAGTAAACTCAGATACAGGAACACCGAGTGGGATAGGTGGGAATGAATGGCTATGGCAGTGCATTTATGGCTTCAGTGCAGGGACGCAAACACAGGAAGAGCCCCCATGGCCCTCGCTGGGAAAGACGGGCTCACTCGTTGCACGTGAGCACTGCAGACCAACAGCATCACAGAAAGGAGGCTCTCCTGCCGTACTTGTGACTCATGTCTTAAAGATACCCCAAGAGAATTGAACAAAGCTCTATCGTGAGATCCTTCTGAGGAGAGAATAAAAAGGAAATATGTATTTTACTTTTGTACATGGAATTTCCTTTTAATTAAAATCCTTGGTGATTTTAAAATATCAGGTTCCTAGGAGGGTGGCTGTGCGTGACTCGGCTCACGCTGCTGCCGTGGGCTCCTGGGCGCTGGAAGAGCACTCTCAGGTGAAACATCTGAGAGCCGAAGGTTCCAATCCCAATCATTTTTTGTTTTGTGCAGCCCATGGCTCTGCCTTTAGTCCTTGTTCACGTCTCAAAATGGATAATGAGTGGCTTTCCTCTTCATTCATTTATAGCAAAGATGTAATAAATTATTGAAATCGGGGGAACTGTACCACTTCATTTGCACTCCCCAGGGGCAGGTGCTAGGTGCTGAAAGTACACAAGCATTTTCTTATTGTATTCACATGAAGCATTTGTCATTCTCTGTAAGTACACATTGGAGGAGACATTGCTGCTAATTCCGTATTGAAGTGGGTAATACCACCAATGACCAAGTAACCTCGGCAAAGCAGAGACAGCTAGAGCGGGAAGAGTCTTCTCTTCTTGGAAGGAATTTGCAAGGAAGACAGGTCCAAAATGAAGATGAGGAAACGGCCTGCATTTCTGAGGGGTTTATTTGCTTTTTTTTTTTTTGTTTTAAATCATTGCTGGTTCTACAGGTTTCCCTGTTGGAATTGCCCTTTGGGACTCTCAGGTCTGGATAGTTCTCTGAGGCTGATGAGCCTGCTGGGTGGTGGCAGCCTGGTGCCCCTGGTGCAGGCAGCCAAAGAACTGGAATCTGACTCAGGGGCAGAGAAATGGGTTAGTGGGTGAACCCAACATCTCTGCTCACTGTTGGTCCTTGAAGCTTTTCTTCATCTCATCATGGGGACCTCAACAAGGAAGGTGCCCAAGGCAAGGATGGTGGTGGGGGACCTGAGTGCCATCCCCACTTCTGGATCCAGTGTTCAAACACCCACAGTGGTGACATCATCTCTGCATCTGTACAGTGCACAGGGTGTGTGGTTAGAGCAGGAGTTGGAAGGAACGGGGAGGGAACAGTCATAGCTTCCAGTCCCATCTGCTTCTTGTCTCTATGCCCAGAACCTGACCCTGGAACAGGACTGAGCAGGTGCCTGTGTGCACAGAAGACCTTGTGTGAGTCCTTTGGTACCACGTTTGCTGCACGAATGTCTGAGACACCTCACAGTCGCTTGGTTCAGCCTCTCCCTCCTCTCTCCGCTGGGGAACATCATCCCTCATCACTGGAAGAAATTACAAGGATTGTGTAAACAATTACAAGTATTCTACAAACAGTGAGCATGCTGGTTTGGCCCATCTATTTGTAAGAAAAAACATGGGGTTTTATGGCAATGAGTTACAGCTCTGAACTCCTGGCACAATCACAAATATCCTCAGCACAAAACACCAAGTGTATGTCTCCCTTCTGTCCTAAAAGGGTAGTGTGTGCAACTCATTGATGGGGCTCCCATTTCATTTTTGAAAGATCTGCTCACTGATAATACCAGTGAGATTGTTTTCACCAAGATCTATGACATACAAATAAACTGTTGCTTCAAAAGCATCTAGCGGCCAATTGCTGATCATCCAAGTGACAAAAAGCTAACTACTTCATTCCTAATTATTACTGCACACTGCTCACAAGCATCTCTCAATCCGTTACCAATTTTATCCTTGACTCCTGATGAAACACAAATCTCTTTGATCAGGTTATCACATGGCATAGGTGCAATGGTGGTTGCTTCAGGGGAAATAATTTAATTCAAGTACTTTGCAGTTTGCTAGGTGCCCTGGGGCATAGTATTCTTTGGGCCTCCTAAGGTTCTGATGGTGATGAACTGATTTAACGTATAGAATAGTTTTTAAATGTGAAGTGCTACAGGGACCACTATGCAGGGAGCTGAAGGGCTATTGAGCTGGACACTTGAGCATTGGCTGCATTGAATGATAAATATTGCACAATATTTCTCTTCCTCAAAATAGAAAATGACAATGGAAAACTTTTAATAATGTCAACATTGGTGACTAGAAATACATATGTGCCTCCTTATGAAAGCAGGGGTGGTGACTGAATAGAATTGTTTTGTTTTTAGAGAACGATGTTTTTCTTTTTGTTTTTTCTTCTTTTATAGTATTTTACTTAAAAATCCAAGTAATAGTATTCTACTGTATTGCCTTGAAGAAGTAAATTGAGAAAAGTCAGAACACTTATGTATTTTTATTTAAAAACGAACGTTTTAGTCAGCACCCAATGCAACAAAAGCAAACTAGAAATTGCATGTCAGCAATAAAATAACCAGGTTCTTAGAAGGGCGGCCTAAGTCAGCTCTACAGATTCTCACCTTTGCTGATTTAGCCGCATGGAACCTAATTAATGGGTAGATTATACATTTGCTCAACAAGTATTAATGGAGGTACTTGAATGAACTGACAGGGCCCAGCCTTATGCAGTGGTCCTCAAAGGCTTGTTCATATCTTGATTTGGACATCAAAAGAGAAGGCCGTCGCAGGAAATCGGAGACCTTGAGCCTTTACATGTCCACCTCAGAGACTAGACGTAACTGCCTGCTAGAAATAGTGGCGTGAGGAATGCGAAAGGGAGAAGTTGTTTGAAGGATCTCAGACTCCATGCCGTGTACTTTGAAGATGAGCTTTAGAAATTGCACATCAATAGTTACTGCAGAAGGAGCAATAGGAACTGAGAACATCTCACGCGGCTTAGTGCGACCGATAAACACCAGCTGAAGCTTGTGTCCTGCACAATAAACCTTATTTGCTGATCTCTGAAGGTGCAAAGCAGGGCACTACTGCTCAGCAGCCTCTGATGACGGTGAGGAAGGCAGAATGGCGTTGGTGACATCTGCGTCCAGTAGGCCAGGCTCCAGAGATTCATGGTCCCAAGTGCAGATCCAAGTCCAGACGCTTGTAGGAAGCCTGCTCCCCGCTGCTGGGAAATCCCAAACTTAATTTTGCAGGCCTCCGAGATTTAGATAAGCGTTTGTTTATTTCAAGTAGCATCCTCAAGTCTGTACTCTGATCGGCACTACAAATATTTTACCAGACAATGATATGCTGTGTTTAAGTTGCATGTAAACACTGTGGAATCCATATTTATTTTAGTTTATTTCTTCCATTTGTTGATAGAGTGATGCAATAGGAAGATTCCTTCTTAAGAGGAAAAAATATTTTTGAATTAATTTTTATAACTTTAAATTAAGTCCACTTTAATAGAAACAATACCTTATTTAAAACCGTAAGTTATTCTTTGTAAAAATATTCTTCTCTTCATTTTCAAGCAATTGATATTACACACGAGGAGATCTCAAGTTAAACTTTTATTCCAAGAAATGAACTGAAGGGTTATTTAGTTTATTTTAGTTATTTGCTGTTACGTACTATGTGCCTCTGTTTCTAAATCATGATTGCTGCCTACAGATAGAAATATTTATTATAAACTAAGCAATAAGCTGCACAATTTGACCCATTTTGATTTTATGTATCTATTGGAAATGAATGGGATATACTGCCTAATTTGGAGGAAAGCTTGCTGATTAAATTCTAGTAATAGGGACTAGGCAGGCACTAGGAATAATAGTCTATGATAAATATAGAAGAAAACAATTTTAAAATCACTGAAAGTAAGTTAGTCATTTTAAAAAGGATACCACTGACATCAATTTCTAGTTTGTTGATTATGTCAAAGCAGTTTCCTGTGTCATTGTTGATCTCTTTAGAAAAATAAAGGAAAAAACCGATGTCAGGATATATTTTCAAAGGTAAATTATTTCCTTAATATTTTTGTCTCTTGGCCAGGCACCGCGGCTCACACCTATAATCCAAGCACTTTGGGAGGCAGAGGCAGGCAGATCACCTGAGCTCAGGAGTTCAAGGCCAGCCTGGCCAACATGGTGAAACCCTGTCTCTACTAAAAATACAAAAATTAGCTGAGCATGGTGGTGGGCGCCTGTAATCCCAGCTACTCAGGAGGCTGAGGCAGGAGAATAGCATGAAGCCGGGAGGCAGAGGTTGCAGTGAGCCAAGACAGCGCCATCGCACTGCATCCTGAGCAAGAGCGAAACTCTGTCTCAAAAAATATATGTGTGTGTGTGCATGTGTGTGTGTGTGTGTGTGTATATATATACGTATATATATATACGTATATATATACGTATATATATATACGTATATATATATACGTATATATACGTATATATATATACGTATATATATACACATACATATGTCTTTTACTTTTTACCCCATATTAATTTAAGCATCCACATTTTAATATGTCAGACAGAATATTGAATGCTTTTAGTTTTTTTCACTTTCTCTAACCCCTACATAAAGAAAAATATCTGCTTTTTGTAATACCTTTATATCTTCAGGGTAAAATAATTATTTAGTTCCAATCATCTTTGTACACAAAGATTTATATGTTAACAAGCTGAATTCCTGCTTCATCTGGAGGACTGCACAGTGTATCTGAGAGAGGATTTTCAGGAGGCCAGAAAATCAAGCTGGAGGGATTTTCAGCGTGTTGGGAGATTGCTACCTGTTTTAAGTCAGGCCATTGCCACGTCTTTTTCCCCACCTTGGAGACTTCAGGTAAATTGCTAAATTTCAGGTAAATTGCTAAAATTGTGCTCCATAAGACTTTTCCTACCAGGAAACTGGTAGATTTAATTAACAGGGATCCATAAGGAGATTCTATTCTCACTGGTTTGTGTTTTGAATCTGATGTCCAGTATTAGAGAATCATATTTCTACACTCTTAGGAAGCTGAGCTAAACATGTTTGGGGAATCTCATTTATCCATTGTTTAAGAGGGTTTCCAGCCAGCCAAGTGTTCAAATCAGGACAGTGAGAAGAGGCAGTGCTGAGGAGTACCCCAGGGGTCAAAGTTTGCATCCTGGCTGGCACTGTGCGTTCGAAATCAGGACCAAAAGACAGCTCTGTGTTGGAATGAAATGTCACTTGGACATTTTATATACTTTATCATATAGAGTTTCATATTATGCATTCTAATGCATAGAGATGGAGGTAGTCAAAGCAACATATTTTTGTAAGTATTTCTATTTCTGTGTTGAAACAGAGTGTTATGAGTTTTAGTAGTGGTGGTATTAGGCTGAGAGTGAGCCAGCAGAAGGTGTGCTAGTCAAGTCTCTTTGGTTGCATATAACTCAAACCAGATCATGTAAGGGTTAGGAAAGGAATGGGTCAAGAGAGGCACTGACTATAGGGACAATCAGATGCCAACAGGAATGAACTGCTGATTACTCAGATTTTGACTTCTGGGTTGGATTTTCTGTAAAACTACATTGGTTCATAGCTGCCAACATCTCTGGACTCCTAAAAGGACCTTTTTTTGGGACGGAATCTCACTCTGTCACCCAGGCTGGATCTCTGCTCACTACAGCCTCCACATCCTGGGTTCAAGCAATTCTACTGCCTCAGCCTCCTGAGTAGCGGGGACTACAGGCATGCGCCACAACGCCTGTATAATTTTTTTTTTTTAATTTTTAGTAGAGAAGGGATTTCGCCACATTGGCCATGCTGGCCTCGAACTCCTGACCTCAAGTGATCCACCCGCCTTGGCCTCCCAAAGTGCTAGGATTATAGGCATGAGCCACCACGCCTGGCCAGGACTTCTGAGTTTCAATTTGGAAATTTCAGAAAATCACAGGGCAGCTTCCCACTGGGACATGGCCCTGTGGCCCCTGCAGTGGACAGCTACCTTGGGGAGAGGGGCTGTTACTGCTCTGTTGTATGAAGTGCTTACCTTTCCTCCAATTACTATAGCCAGACAGGGGGACAGCAGAGGGTGAGGTGGAGGGTTGACTAGTCCAGTCCGGGATACCAGGACACCCTTGTGAGAAGGGGAGCCACTCCCTCTATTTCTCTCTGCAGCATATCAGAATGTCACTCATCTCCCACCACGCTTACCCAGGATTCACCATGCTGCTTTCTTGCCTGGCCTTGCTTGAGCGCTCTCTGGCCTCAGTATGCTCAGTGCACAGCATTAACTCCCATCTTCCAAGTCTTGACCATGCAATCAGAAGAGACATGGAGAACCTACCATGAGCCAGACACTTTTTCTACCCGTTTCCGTGCAATACTTCATTTTGGTTTTACAACATTCCTTCTGGGTAGGATGCACAGTTTATTTACATTTTATAGATAAAATTATTGAGGTGTCAAAAGGCTGAGTGGTTTTCCCAAAGCTACAACCTTGTACATTTTGGAGACAGGCCTGAAACTGTTGGAGGGGTTCAGAGCCCACCTCCTTCTCTTCAGCATCACTATGCACCACGGCTGGGCCAGCCCTGGTCTTGAGTCTCGTAGAAGGTCTCTATTTGCATTAAATGTTAACAAGAAGCCGTCATAGAAGATCCTCCTTCTGTTGGTTTCTTTTCTGCTTGGACTCTGGCATAGTAAAAAAATTCACACACAACTCATTTTGAAAAACCAAATGAAACAAAACAAAGGTCCTCTTAGTCATAGCATCAAAACTGAAAGTTAGTGAAGGGCTTAGAAATTCACCCTGACTTTACACAGGAGGTAATAGCCACTGGGAATACCGAGTAACTCCCCTTCCACCCACACCAGATGGTTTCTGGTGGAGCCAGGACAGCGCTCCTGCCCCAGGACCTCAGGACGAGGACGAAGTCCTGGGCTCTGTTGGAACACAGCATAGGATAATTCTCACAGCTGGGTGGGCCTGGGAGGCAGGAGGCAGATGTGTGCTGAGGGCCACCTGCCAGATTTAGAGATGGAGCACGGATGGATTGAGAAGAGGTTCTGAGACAGAAGTATTGCTCTAAGGATCTGGCGTAGACAAATAGACCCTCCTTGGAAAGATGAGTGGCCCTGGGGTTGTCCCCAAATCTCTGGACCAGCCCAAGCCTATGACTCCCTGCACAAGGGCACCTGCTCTCACTGCGCAAGGATCTCTGGACTTTCTCCTCCAAAGACCTGCTCCTGGAACACAGAGCCCCTCTTCTCCTTCGTATTGGGACCCGCCTGGCCTCACACTAGGAATGTCCCCTGGACAGCAGTTTGAAGGCCCTATGCTCGCTCACTGCACTAAGGATTCTTGAGCGATGGGCGACTTGGTCGACACACAACCCGGGCCCACTGTGCGGAATTGCGTCGAATAAGCTTCTCCCTGGGGCAGAGTCCCTGCCTGTCCTTGCCGCCCCCGTCCTGTTCTCGTCCCTCTATCCTCCAACCCTCCCCAAGGCCCTTTCTCCCCCTACTTCAAGGATGGGGCCCTTTTCCGAGCACTTTGCTCATTGCAAAACATAACCAAATTAAACAAAACAAAGCCCATTTTGGTTTGGGCCTCTAATGTTCTCCTAAATGCTCTCTGATTTTCCATTTGAACCCTAATTTTTCTCAGCCTATTTCTGCAATAAATTATCACTGTGTTTTGAGAAAGTGATAGATTTTGAACCCTTTGGCCCATATTCTTTAATGAATCCTCTTTTAGATTGTAGAGTTTCATCTGAGCTTCCCAATCTTAACTCCTCACTCCCCGCCTCACCCCATAGGGAAGTTAGAAGGATCCGAAGAAGTGGGTTCCTATCAGAGTCTGGCGTCTCCACTGTGGACATGCCACTTAACATCACCTGACCTCTGGATGAATCAAGTCAGTCAGCTTAGCAGGCTCTAAAGCCCCTTTAATTCAAAAACTTGGAGCCTGTATTTTCTTTTCCTTAGATGCCCATGATTTTTTTTAAAAATAGGGATTCTAGTTTTCCATCCAAGACCCTTGCACACTTCAGTACACTTAGTGTGGGGTTCACTTTCCAGACCCGGTCTCCAGGTGCTGTCTGCTTCTCCAGTCATGTTAGCCTGAAACGGCGACTGATTCATGTGCACACTTCGGCTCCCCAGGCCAGAATGCTGTCACTCTGGGGAGGAATTATGGTTTCACTTTTTGCTTCATTCCTGCTGTAGAGAACAGGCACCCATCAAAGTCCAGAGTAAACAGACACTGTTTCACGTGCAGCAGATGGAAGTCTTTATCCATGATTACTTTTGTCCTATGTCTTTCATGTCCCCCTGTTTTTTTGACGCCTCCCACTTTTCCCTTTTAAATACTCTGGGTGATGGTTAAAAGCAAGATGACTGCTGGTTTATTCGTCACACCGGAAGCAAGAAAAAGTTACATGCAGGCAAAGGAGCTGGATGCAGGATCTCATCTGAAGGACAAGATCACTTAGCCATGCACGGGCAAGAAAGAACTGAATGTTTCTGAATAGAGGAAACGTTAGTCCCGGATTTCAACCGAGAGAAGGAATGCTGAGAGTTCTTGACAGCGAGGGCTTCGGCAGGGGTGACACGCCTTTGATTTAGAATGGTTAGCACATACCCACATGCACACATGACCTGCCTTAGTTTCAGGATATGGAAACTTCTGAACAGAATTGTGGGTACAGCTGCATTTACACATATTTACTGGGCACTTATCACATATAGCAAAATATCCTGAAGAGTAAATTACAATCCTCTCCCATCTTGAAGGCACTTATGAAATTCTGTCTGTATTTACTCTTTCTTTAGGGTTAGTGAGCAGCAATGTGTTGCTGATAATTCTAATGTTGCTCCTGGAAATGTGTTATTTTAAGAGATTCACATCCTCCATGTGGGGTTGGAAACATCTGTTCAGAACAGAACGTATCAGTTAAGATTATATTTTGCTCCTCCCAGTTTGAGTCCAGATGGTTACATCTACGCGCTATGTACTACAAGTTTCAATTATCTACTGTAATTTTATTTCTTTTATTTTGTATGTCTAATGAAGCTAATATTTAAAATAACTCCTAATATATTTCTAATGTGCTAAAAGCTAAAGGTCCTTAAGTGTGTGTGTATGTGTGTGTGTGTCTGTTAAAATGTTGTAAGATTACTAGATGCTAAGAATGCCATTTTTAGGCCAGGCGCGGTGGCTCACTCCTATAATCCCAGCACTTTGGGAGGCCTAGGCAAGCGGATCACTTGAGATCAGGAGTTCAAGACTAGTCCGGCCAACATGGTGACACCTGATCTCTACTAAAAATACAAAAATTAGTGGGGTGTGGTGGTGCACGCCTGTGATCCCAGCTACTCTGGAGGCTGAGGTAGGAGAATCGCTTGAACCTGGGAGGAGGAAGTTGCAGTGAGTTGAGATTTTGCCACTGCACTCCAGCCTGGATGATAGAGACACTGTCTCTAAAATAATTAAATAAATGAATGAATGAATAAATAAATACATATTTGTAAAATGCTGTAAGATTACTGTTAAAACGTGTATAAAGCATATTATTAAAGGAAAGGTAAACATTCCCTCCGAGTGGATTTTCTAAATCCAAACAAAGTGAACTTCATCAGAAATAATAGCTTCAAGAAAGAAAATCATTTAAAATGGTGATGAATTGTTATTTAATTCAACAAAATAATACATAGTCCATCATAGAAACATATAATAAAGCGAATTTCTCATTGATCACTATTTTGAGAAAAGTGACAAAGCTATTCAAATGAATAAAAAGTATGTGAATTTTCAGGTAATTTTGTGGGAGAAAGGATGTTTCAGGATGCTTTAGAACATTGATCTCCAAATGTTTGTCACTGTTGTATCCTGTTGTTTTGCAAAATGCAAACTCTCAGTCATTTTTAACGGACATACAAAATTTTTCTTCATATGCTGAAATAGTTGCAAATGATGCAAATTTCAGGATACTATGGACAGATAAAAATGAAACTATGAACTTGTTCTACGAAATGTAGTCAGTGAAATGTCAATAACGAAGTGATTTGATACTGACCACCACCTATTAAAAGAAAAACACAAACAAGCTCTTCAATTACAGGAAATTGGACATTGTTCCTTTTTCTCTTTGAACTTGTATTCCAATTTTATTTCTCCATAGGTTTTATCTTAATGTAATCTTTACTCAAAACATTCTTATTGATTGTTTCGTAATTCCTTCTGTGAAGGAAATACATAAATTGAAAGCAAAATATTTTAATTTTGCCCATGCAGCTCTAAGTGTTACATTTTTCTATATTGGATTGTCATTATAATTACTATTTGTACAAGGCTGATCCCAATAACACACATATACAATTTTATATTTAGCAAATAAAAATATGCAGTTTGATTTGAAATTCCTATCCTAATAAGATAGATGAAATTTTTTTATTAGTTTATACAATTAATACATAGTTAACAGAATGCAGTAAGTGTATCATCCAACCTATTATTGACAACTTTTTAAAATGTAGGCTTTGAGAAAGTTTGAAGTATTACAGAATTTCGCTGACGTATTCGAAATGTTTTCTGAATTAGATAAAAATATCAATCATCCATTATTTAAAAAATGTAGTCTACCAGCTGACAAGTTGATTAGGTTCTCTTTGAAACCAGATAATCAGAATTACAGACAGGCTGTGTTATCCATTTATCGGAGTCTCTAGAATGTCTGTATTGTGGGTTGATCATGTATGGTTTGCTCATTGTCTTCATGGAGCTTTATCTCGAGTTCCTCTGTGATATTATAAAGCTTGCAGAGACGGCCACATCTTTCTTCTTTTTCCATCCTCTCTTTCTCCTCATCACCCTCTTCTTTTTCTTTTTATGTTTTAGCTCCACTTGATATTTTTCTAAAATGCTTCCGCTGTTAAGCATTTAATAAAGTGTCACGTATCTCAAGCATATGATAGGTTAAGCAGCTCATAAAAGAGAATTACACTTGAAAAAAAATCTTTATAGAAAAACATGCATTAGTGTTCTTGTTGATAAGTTCCAGCAGTGATGCTACAATATATCATATTCACTCTAAAAATATTATATTCAGTCTATTATTTAATGTGAAAATCAATTTGTTGGCTTGGACCAAAGCAGAGATTCTTGTTATATTCACAACATGGAACTATTTTAATGACTGTTAAAAGCCCTCCCATGGGAAGCAACCATGTAGCTAAATTCTATGGCATCATCCACAAAAACCATTCTATCTAGATATAACTCTTCTATCAACCAGAGACTTCAATCCGACTTCACATGAAAGTGGCCCAGCTAGTCTTCAAATGCCTCGTGTTAGTATTGTGGTGTGTCCCACATCCGCACTACTGTGGTTCTGGCCAGGGGCAGACAGCCCATCCTCCCAAGGTGAGGATGATTGGAAAGATTCGGTTTGGCTCTGAGGGGATTGAAAAAGGCTTCTCATCTCTCCTTTTTCTTTTTTTTTTCATTGAGTCTAACATCCATATCCCTCCAACCATAACCACTTGGGAAGTATTTTTTTCTCTTATTTTGCCAGATCTTTATTCTTAAATTGCATATTATCTGAAATAAATATGTCTTATGTCCTCATTTTTGTTCCTTTTCTTATTTAAAGAGATCCATACTTTAATAATTTTGCCTTCACTTTAAAAAAAATGGAGTTTAACACAGTATAATCTATTTGGGGGAATTGTAATGCATTTTTAAATAGCTATAAAACAGTAAAGTAAAAAGATAGAGTGAAGTAACTCCATTTTCTCCATATATTTTTTGAAAGTGAACCAGTACCTAGTCATAAATGTTACTTTGCACTGTGGATTGATTCCATTTTGTAGGGCCAGAAACACACATTTTTGAGGACCCTCTTTAAGATGACAAAATACTGAAAGCATAGGCCAGGCACGTGGCTCACACCTGTAATCCCAGCACTTTGGGAGCCCAAGGCAGGCAGATCACCTGAGGTCAGGAGTTCGAGACCAGCCTCGCCAACATGGTGAAATCCAGTCTCTACTAAAAATATAAAAAATTAGCCAGGCATAGTGATGCATGCCTTTAGTTTAAGCTACTTGGGAGGCTGAGGCAAGAGAATCATTTGAACCTGGGAGGCAGAGGTTGCAGTAAGCCAAGATCATGCCACGGCACTCCAGCCTGGGCTACAAAACAAGACTACATCACACACAAAAAAAGTATAAAATAAATTATAAAGTGAAATTTTATTTAGAAAGAAAAATAAATCAAACACATTGCAATCTTTATAAAAGTATACAAATATGACAATATTATAAATTTCAGCAAAGTAACATAATTTTGTAAAAATTAGCTGCCTTACCTAACCGAAGAATTTAAAAAAATTGTTAGAATTCTAATTGAGCATCTTCTCAAGTGCAAAAGTTTATTGTATCTTTATTTAATTAAATGAATAGTAAAATTTAATTTTTCTGAAGAATATAATATTTTAAAATTAATAGTTTCAAAAAAGTCTTTTAGTCTTACAACTTATTATTGGTAATGGCATGTAAATTTAAGGCTGTTGTTCAATTTGTGAAACCTTCTATCAAAAAACTTATACTACAAGTAAAATATCAGTTATCTGTTATAAAAATACATAATTTATAAGATTACAAGGACTTTCAAGATTTTTTAAAAAGTTTTCATTTACTTATGATTAATTAGATTGATTAATGTGACTCATTAACCCATTTATCAAAAACATCCCATTTCTGGTGGCCCAATATGTTTCATTTTAACTTAGTGCCCGTATTTTATGTAAATTCAGCAAGATTTTAAATCTTTTCACAGTGGGTGTCTATGATCCCCTCCTCTTTCTTCTTCTTATTATCAAATAATTCTACAGCCTTTTCGTGGCTTCTCCTTGAAATTTATTTCTCAGCTGCAATAAATTACTGCTTTTGGTTTGATCTGAAAAAATGGGTTTTACATTTTAGTCTCATTGTCAGATGATAAAGTATTTTATTCTCAACACATATCTCTTTATTTTGTTTTATATTCCATTAATATTATGCCTGTATTTCTCTCATGTTCTATTTAATAAATACACTTAAAATGGTTGAAACATGACCATTCTATGTGTATAAATAAGGAGCTCATAATTTCCAATTTCATTGCAACTTTCCAAAACATCCTTCAAATTAGATTATAATGGTACATTCAGGCTTTATGTATCTTTCAAATAAACTTATTCCATCTTATTTGTGTTTGTCTTTCTCTTTTAAGTATTAAATATATATTGTATATCTGGGAGTCCTTAAAACACTGCGAAACCCAATTTCTAAGGCTTGAATACTGTAGTGAGCAGGCCATTTTGTGATACTTAGTCTAAAGAAAAATTCAACTGTTCACGTGCGTTTTTAAATCTAGGAGACAACCTCAAAATGAAAACACAAACTTGCAAAATGCTGAAGAGTTCGACACCTTCAGATGCTATTAAAGGGGTTACTTTCTAAACAAGATTGAGAAGCTGAGCTGGGCATACCATGGCCTGCTACACCTGGCATCCTGATGTCAAGTATTTGACATGGTTGTAGAGGGGCACACTTCCGAGGCATTCCTCTGTTATTGCTTGGGTGAGCAATCACTTATTGGATTTGACAAAGAGCCATGCAGTTATATCCTAGTAAAACTCAAACTGAAAGTACCTCTAACTCAGTCTTCCTTGAGCTGGATCCAAAAATGCCTTAAACTTTATAGCTTCACGGTAAAAGTGCCTTTGTTACATCGTGTCCCCCGTTAAAACCCGGAGGCTGACAAAGTCATACGGTTTAGGAACTATGGCCTCAAAACTCATAAACAAGCTGTGATGAGGCCCAAATCATCATTTCTTTTATTCTCAAGGATCTTAGGGTTTCAGATTAATGATATCACTGCCAGAACAAAATACCAGACTAGGGGGGGTGCTTAAACAACATAAATTTACTTTCTTATAGCTCTATAGCATGGGAAATCCAAGGTCGAGGTGCCTGATAATTTGGATCCTGGGGAGGGCTCTCTTCCTGGCTTGGAAATGGCTGCTTTCTTGCTGTGTTCTCATGTGGTGGAGAAAGAGGGAGTGAGCTCTCTGGGGTCTCACAGGGACACTAATTCTGCTGGATCAGGGCTCCACCTTATGCCTTAATTTAACCTTAGTTACTTCCTTATTCCAAGTAGTTACATAGGGGATTAGGGCTTCGACATATGAATTTTTGTGGGGGCAGGGAATGCTGTTTAATCCATACCCCCATGTATATCATAACCGTCTGTAATAGAACACTCTAAAAGCCAAATTAGAGATATTCCAGTTTATAAAAATTTGATTAAAATTTATTTCCTTGGCTGGGCATGGTGGCTCATGGCTGTAATCCCAGTGTCTTGCGAAGGTGAGGTGGAAGAATTGCTAGAGCCTAGGAGTTTGAGGCCAACATGGACAACATAGCAGGAGACTGTCTCTACAAAAAGCTTTTAAAAAATTAGCTGAGTATGGTGGCACACATGTGTAGTTCTAGCTACTTGGGAAGATGACTTGAACCCAGGAGTTTGAGGCTGCAGTGAGCTGTAATCCTGCCACTGTATTCCAGCCTGGGCAACAGAACAAAATCCTGTCTCTAAAAAAAATAAAAGTAAAAAATAGAATTCTTACCTTGGTTAGAAAAAAAAAAGTATCCTCTTGCATGCAAAATACACTCAACTCACTCTCTTTCCAAATCTCGTTGGTGTTGTTACTGAAGTTCAACTGCTTAGGTTCAGCCTATCTTGATCTGAAGACCTATGAGCTAGAAGAACAACACAACGGCAACGTATAATGGTGCGAGGGGCACAAAATAACCACCATGGCACATTTCCATTTACAACACAAACATATGGCAGCTACTGCTCCATAGCAATTCTGAAATTTCCCAGGACGCATACTGGTGCTTCCTTAAGCAGGTCTCAAGCTGTGTGAGTAATTCCACATGCCTTCTGTCTCTGCCTTCCTGGATCTTCTGAGTCATCTATTTTTCCCCCCATGAAATGTGGCCAGTGCTCCAATCCGAGTAGTTTCCTCAGCTGCTTGTTACTTATAGAAATTTATGGGTCTTAAGAAGCCATTTCTTTTTGAACTGACTCTTTCCTTTTCAGTCAAAGCTAGTGGTTCATCTGCTGCTACACTTGTCTTGAAAAATTGTGTGGGTCTCCCATGAATCTTATTGTAGAGTATTCCATCTTACCAAAGCCATACCTAGAAATGTCTTTAAGATAACCCGTTTTGACCTTGGCATCCTTTCTAAACTGCTGAGGAACAATAGTCTTATGCTTCTTAAAAGCTTTATTGTTTGAGTGAGTGATTTTCTCAGACTTCATCTAGATTTTTCTGAGGCTTTAAAAAGAATTTGAAAACCACACCTGGCTTCAACTTTTTGCCATGTGTTTCTGACAGTACTCTGGGTTTTCTCTTTGCCTGGGAGTCATTTCTTAATTTTAGCATTATTTATTTTTAGCATTATTTATCATCAGGGGAGGTTGATAATTTTCAAAATTAAGGAGTCCTTGTTTCTTTTTTTGGTATCTGTTCTTCCTTTAGTTGATCTCTGTCTTCTTCCAAGAAGCAGCCCAATAGCATTTTGAAAACTCTACCTGGAAATTTTAGCCAATCACCAGGTTTATTAGGTGCATTTTCTATTTTTCACATTACTGCAAGTGCAAATATTGGTAAACTTTCTGCCACTATGTGACAAGGATCCAGTTTTCTTCCATTTTCAACAACATTTTCTTCACTTTACATTAAGCCTTCCCCTATAGCCTTCTCATAGCAACCAGCAGATATTTATTTTCGGTGTTTTCAAGGTTCCTCTGGTTGTCACTTACACCTTCCTCAATATTTTCCCAACTCCTCACTGCTTGTGCATCTATTTGTGCTACCAAAATCTACAATAGTTATCTCTTGCTGAATTAAAAAAATCACCTCAACATGGAGAGGTTTAAAGTTTTAATGCAATTATTATCCTCTCAGTTTCTAAGAATCAGGAGTTCAAGATCAAGGTAATTGGAGTCTCTCAAGACATTGCAGTTCAGGAGGCCACTGGGGGCTTCAGGACCTGAAGACCTTACGGGGGGTTGAGGATCAGCCCCCAGGGTAGCTCCTCCCATGGTGGCCAATGTGTGGTGGTTGTTGGCAAGAGGCCCAGTTTCTTCCCACACTGGATTGCCCTTATGGCTTAGCCATGGTCTTCCCCAGACTGTGTTATCCAAGAGAGAACAACGTGAAAGTGACAGCATTGCTGTGGCCTCACTTCAAAAGCCACTTTCACCTCTGCCAGACTCTATTCACTGGAAGCAGGTCACTCAGTCCGGCTCACTTTCAGAGGAAAGGAAAATTAGACTTGGAAAGGACAAGTGTCAAAGAATTTGTATGTGCATTTTCAAACCACTGCACAGTAGCTACATGATTTGTGGAACTGGCAAGTCTCTAGGGAGGACGAGATTCAAAAATGATTTGAGCAGGCACCTGCCACCAGTGCTCTGTGATTCTCATGGATTTGCCAAACCCCATGGAACATCTTTATCCTCATGATCATTTCCCTCATGATGATGAAATGGCTGCAAAATTCCCAGGAATTGCATTTGCATCCCGTGCTATCCAGAGGAAGAGAAAGAACTTTTCTCCTAGAAGTCCCAGTGACACTGGAGAAATAGAACCTGGGCAGGAGACAGAATGATGCTTAGTTGTTTCTGGTCAGGGAACATATACGATGCCTCGAGTAACAAATATATGAACTGTTTACTGTCGTCTTTAGGGGGGTCTTATAAGGTGAAAACATATTTAATCTTAATTTGTAATGTAAAAATGCAGACAACCTGACTCTACAGTCCTGTTTCATAAGGCTGCACTGTGTCCGTGTGCTAACAGTCGATTGTAAGGATGAAGATTTTTGTCTCTTTGGCCCACTGTGCAGCAGAGCCAAGAACAAGGCCTGACACAGAAGCAAAAGAGGTGTTGAAATATTCAATAAAGGAAAAGGTATCCATAGGATAATAACCATTGCATGAACCCAGAAGCAGCGTCTCTGGTACAAATAAGTTGTTGATTATTGGCGACTATCAGCCTGTTGATCACTATGAGCCAGGGCACGTTCAGCATTGGTCCCTCTGGTCCTGCTGTTCTCGTGGACACTATTTATGGTTCTTCCAGCTCCAGGCTTCCTACCTCCTTCCCCTGCAAAGCCCTCTGTGCACCTTATCTTTCTGGAGCAATGAATACAGACACTTCCTTCTCTGCAATAGGAGGAAGTGATTGCATGTGTTGGGACCCTTTGCCAATTGCCAAGAATTTCTAATTCTGTCCCATTCATTCATCAGTAAGAAATATGAAAAGTAGCAGCACCTTCTGAGCATTTTCTGAACATTAATAACAAATTAGCCTGTTGATGAGGTCACGTTGGTCCACTTGTATTTGGTAAATGAGTATTTTTTAAGAAAAATAAATAAATAACAGGAATATATTGCTTGAGAGTACCTCTGTGATTCAGAAATATCTGGAGTTTCTGGAGGAAACATAAAATCATGTTTCTTTCCCATTTGTTGAGCTTTCTAAGGAGGAAGGAAGTGAGAAAATTTGGAAAGTTCAGAAAACATTAAAATAAAAATCATCCAATTGTTCCAATGCATGAAAGAAAAGGAACAAAACTAAAATTTTCATCTTTTGATTGTCACTATGAAACACTAATTAGGAGGGAAGTGAAACCAATCCTAGTGTTGGGATACGACAGGTCAAATTCCGTTTATAAGAAAAAAAAAACCTAGCATATCAATCCCTAAGGGTCTCCTTTAAAAAAGACAGAAGTTTCTATACTAGTCTATGGATCAAGCTCAAGTAATTTCTTTTCAGTGTTGGAATTCTGATCAACCAATCTCTTCCCAGTTTCCCTGAGGTCTCTCTCCTTGGTTCATGAACACTGTCTCTTCCTCATGCCTCTTCCCACCATCTTTCCTCCATGAGTGTCTGTGTCTTAAGCTCTTCTTACAAGGACACCAGTCATACTGGATTGGGGCCCATCCTAATGACCTTATCTTACCTTAATTACCTGTAAAGACCTTACCTCCAAATATAGTCACACTCTGAGGTATTAAGGATGAGGACCTTTAACACATGGATTTTGGGGAACATGGTTAATTCAGTCCATAACACCAAAAATTATTTTAAATCAGAGTTCTTTGAAAGTGAAAGACAATCTCTTGTTTGAGTCCCCTACCCCACCTCTCTAACCAGGTATGGAGTTTTAGTAAGCCTGTCCTCGTGTATCCCACATGGACCAGAGGTGACTGGACACACTGTAAACAGCATACTTTACTCATGAAGAAGAAGTGCAGCAGCCAGAAGAGGCTGTGGGAAACATTACATCCCTGCGGAGCTAGGTCACTTTGGATGAAATATTTATTTTCCATTTTTTCCACCTTCGGAGACATGGAACATTTTTTTTCCTGTTTTCTGTTGGTTTGCTTTTTTTTTCTTTCAGATGTTGAGGTTCTAAAATTTTAAATATCCTTAGCTTAGCTTAGCCAATAGAAAAAAAAGTTTTTTTTTTTTGTTTTTGAGATGGAGTCTTGCTCTGTCACCCAGGCTGGAGTGCAGTGGTGCAGTCTCGGCTCACTACAAGCTCTGCTTACTGGGTTCAAGTGATCCTCATGCCTCAGCCTCTCCTGTAGCTGGGATTACAGGTGTCTGCCACCACAGCTGGCTAATTTTTGTATTTACAGTAGAGACCGGGTTTCACCAGGTTGGCCAAGCTGGTCTTGAACTTCTGACCTCAGGTGATCTGTCCACCTCGACCTCCCAAAGCACTGGAATTACAGGCATGAGCCACTATGCCTGGCACAAAAGTTCCTTTTGAGATCAAAGAAGATAATGGCTTGTCATTAAAATTGTATTTTTTGCATTGAAAAAAAAAAAAACTGCTACCATGGATGGAAAACATTCTAATCCCCTTTCCACCCTCACAAAGTATTCAGATGAGGGAAGCAGGCTGGGTATGGGACATCTAAGAGTAGATTCTGGCTCTGTTGAGACTTTTTCATATTACAATAGCTCTGAGCTTCTGGAAACTTAGGCTAAGGGACCTGATTTTCTAAGACTGCATGTTCTAAATAACAGATAAAACAGCTGAGTCTCCATTTAGCCTGGTCACTTGTGTCTCTTCCATTTCTTCTTAGGAAATGCAAAATGGTGGTGCTCTAACAAATAGGAAGCATTTTAGAAAGCATAGCTACTCTCAATGCATTAACTAGCAAGATGGAAATAAATACACGCAGCTTGTATCTTCTGATAAAACTCTATGACAGAGAGGAGGGAGCAGGCCTGGGTGCATGGGGAAGTGACACCTCCTGAGCAGCCAGGGTGTCTGATGCTGCCTGAATGTCCGGTGATCACATGTGATTGGCTCAGGAAAGTCCCAGAATATTTTAGGGTATTTAAGGTTTTGACTGGCAAGTAAATTTTTAATAACATTATTTTCTTACGTGCAGCAAATCATCTTTTGTTTTTTAAAGCATGCCCTTTTAGAAAATAGCAGTTCACTTAAAACTGAACTCATGGCGGGCGCCGTGGCTCACGCCTGTAATCCCAGCACTTTGGGAAACCGAGGCGGGTCGATCACCTGAGGTCAGGAGTTCAAGACCAGCCTGGTGAAAGTGCAAAATTCCGTCTCAAAAAACAAAAACAAAAATAAACAAACAAGCAAACAAACAAAAAAAAACCTGAACTCACATGACAGATTCGAAATATAGATTCTCAAAATAATTATTAGATATTTCCACTCCGAGGAAGACTATTGCTCTCACCCATGTTTGCATCTTCTTATTTGAAGGGTGACTTTATAGTATCCAAAAAAATTGGCTCAAAAAAAGATGAACGTTTAAATCTAAGCTTCCTTTCTGCAGATCTGTATACTACATCATTTTAGGTTATTTCTTACTTTTTGTGTTTTAAGAAACAAATTGGGGTGTAGTGTCTTACTAAGCTATTTGGACTTGTTCCTACAAATACTTATGTAAGAGTTCACCAAAAAGAGAATTTATAGGGAGCGCTGCCAGCCTCCAACATTGCAATGTAGAAAAACAGAGTTACAAGTGAAACTGGTCCTTGCCCTTTGTTTTCACTCTTCTGTTTAATTAGGGGAGGCATAGCTGTGGATAATTTATATTCAGTATCATGCACCCTATTAATTATCTTTTTATTCCCAACAAGGCCTTCAGACAACACTCCCGCACTGGGTTTATGAGAGTAACCCCCACCTTCCCAGGAAGTTGGAAGCATTGCCCCAGCCTTTCCAGAAGCTCTGCCTGCCGTTAGCTTGGATCATGAAAATTGGCTCGGCCAGGAGAATACATTATAAGGCCCCAAACCGCGCCAAATCTTAAGCCCTCAGAGCATAAAGATAAACTGATTTACAATTATTTTCATTAAAATGTCATTTTAGGTATATGAATGAACAAGACCCTGGTAAATATTTACTATCTATTCTGCACTACAAAAAGTAGGGAAAGAAAGACTCACCTACTTTCAAGTTGTATTCAGTATCTGGGAAGATAATTTTAAAAGGAAATCTTTAAAAGACCTTATCTATAGAGGGATGTTTTGGGCTCTGAGCCCCCTGAGAATAAAGGCTGGGTTTGTCTTGTTGACAGCTGGAACCCAACCTGTGAGATACCAGCTAGCACACAGTAAGCATCTGATAGACAACTGTTGGGTGGAGGTTGTTGATGGAATCCTAATAAAGAGACTATTACTTTTTTATTTTTTTTTTGGAGACAGAATCTCATTCTTTCGCCCAGGCTGGAGTGCAATGGTGTAATCTCAGCTCACTGCAACCTCCACCTCCTGGGTTCAAGCGGTTCTCCTGCCTCAGCCTCCCTAGTAGCTGGGATTACAGGGGCCCGCCACCACGCCCGGCTAATTTTTGTATTTTTAGTAGAGACAGGGTTTCGCCATGTTGGTCAGGCTGGTCTCAAACTCCTGACCTCAGGTGATCCACCTGCCTCGGCCTCCCAAAGTGCTGGGATTACAGGTGTGAGTCACAGTACCCAGCCCAAGAGACTATTACTCTTTACAGTTCTGATCTGTAAGTCTTGACTATCACTCTTTACAGTTCTGATCTGAGAGTGGTATGATTGTCGGCAACTTCTAGCTGAGAGTGGTATGATTGTCGGCAACTTTTGGAAGAAGGATCTGGAGAAGATGTGAAATTCTGTATGAGATATTTGTTGTTTTGCAGATTAACCTAACACAGAATGATACGGAAGTATGTTTTATTTAAAAATCAAATTGTAAGTATATAGGTAATGGGGAATTCTCAAAGTAACCAAAGATTCCTTTAGGATTCTGCTGATGATTTGTGAGCAGAGCCTCTGCTTCCTTTCCCTTTAAGTACGGCAGACTAAACAGACCCAAATAGAGTGATTTATTGATTCCATGGAAAGTATTAAAATCACATATTCCAAGCAAAAAATATCTTTATCATTATGCTAACCACTAAGTTGTGTTATTTCCCCTCACATGATACTCTGAGTGTGTCTTTTTGGTGGAGTGTGCAACTGTCATACCTAGATCATTGCAACACTTTCCCAGATGAATGACCTAACATGGACTCTCCATATTCTTTTTCATTCTATGCACTACAGCCAGACTAATCTTCCTTAGAAATTACTTTCATCTGTCTCCTTGCTTGAGCATTTCCAAAAGCTCAGTGCACTGCACTACGTCAGCCTCTGTGTCCTCCAGGATCTGATCCTGCTATTCTGGAGAACAAACTCCTCCCACCATCCAAGTGCCCCACAGGCCAGTCTGATTTATTCCTGGACTCATCTGACCTTGGCCCAAGAGGGCCTTAGTTGCAATACACTGTCCTATCTCCTCTTCTTATCCAGAGCAATATGGTCCACTTAGGCAATTTGGTCCAGAAGGTCTCCCTGAATCCTAACACCCCAGCTGTCAGTGTTACTTCTCTTTGAGTCCTTAATCCTTCAAGTTCACAGTCATAAAACCTGGATTCATCTTTACCCTCTACTTGTTTCATGAATGTGAGCCTTGGGACCTACGTAAATGGTGAACTCTTAGAAGGCTAAGACCGTGATATTTTGTCTCTTCAATAACACTGATCAAGATAGCAACAAAACAAAAGCTATGACAAAAAAAGAGGTACTTTTAAAACTCTTGGCTTGATACTCAGAAATTACATATTTAACCAATCTTTGACTAATATTCTCAGTAACCTAAAACAGTCTAAATTCAACAACGGGGAAACCAAAAAACTGAACACAAATGCATTGATTTTACAGCCTTGTTTAGGGTTTTTGTAGGCATAGAAATAATATGACATTACATAAGGGTATGGATTTCAGGGATAGAGATCAGTCACCAGCACACCGGGGAACACATTTTGTCTCATTCCATGATCTATCAAAGAGCTGTTAGAAATCCTAGGGCGAGCACACGGCTGGTGGCCATTCACTGCAAGGAAGGAGAACTGTTCTTTTATTTTTACATGCCAACATCTAATTATGAGAACATTAGCCATTTCACTTATAGAAATCTGTAGATAGTCTTATTTTATTCTCTAATCACAAGTAATATTTCCCATGGTATTAAGAGAGTCAAATTAACTATGATTGCATTCTCACAGCCTGGGAGCTAGACTCCACTCGGGACATCTTTGACGGTGCTGGATGAGAGCTGCTTATTCATTCTGCCTTCAACTATTGTCTGCTATTTTGTAAAGTTTCACCGAAAGATTTGAACGTGGTTTTGGAAATGAACCACCTCCATGCTCAAGCTTGAAAGTTTTCAATACGTGCATATGAACTGAGAACAGGGAGCCTAGGAGAGGCTGAGGATGAGGAAGAATGGGCGGTGTCTTCTGTGATCGAGTTTCCTTAGCGGGGCATTTGTTCCTGGGGGCAGAATTTAGGCACCAGATCAGACTTCTCTACAGAATCAGCTAAGCTGGCTGAGCTGATCTTGAGTAAAGTAGTAAAGTAAATGATGAATTTGTTGATGAGAATCAGCAAATCTAGTCCTACCACTTCATTCCTACTAATCCTTGGCTGGGCTGGGAGGACTTTGTGTGGTAGGGAAACCCATTGCCATGGTTCTAATCCTCACATCCTGGGTGCGCATGGTGCATGTGGCTGCCTTGCCTGGAACATGTGTTCATAGACTGTTCCACATCCTTGGAAAGTTAAGGGGGCTTTACCTAGAGTCTTGTGCCATCTGGATGTCTACCTCTGACTTGCTTCTCTTTAATGAAATTCATGACATGTGAAGTAGTGACCGCCGATTGATGCCAAACAGCAATTTGAGCCTCATTACTGACAATGTTTGTAAAAGCACAAAGTGAACCATTGTGGAAAATTAAGGGAAATGGTACTTATTACGTAATAATAAGAAACTTACACATTATTTTTATTTGGTGGAGATACTTTGGATGGATTTGTATGAGCTAAAATCACATTTTTCCCTTGGCCGGTCTTAATCACACTCCAAGTCTTTGCACTTTCTCATGTTCTCACAGAAGCATCATAGTCATCACTGGAGCAGGCAGGGATTGCTATCCCCATTTTACAGATGATGAGACTGAGATGTGAAGCTCTTTATGAGCATCATAACAACTAACACTTACTGAGTGCTTATAACATGGGAGGCATTATTCAGAATGCTTATGGGTATCAACTAATGAATGTAATCCCAAGGTCAAACTACGAGGTAGGTTCTAGTATTATTTCCATTTTGTAGATGAGAAATTGAGGCACAGAGAGTCTGAGCAACTTGCCTGTGGTCACACAGCTAATAACTGGAACCTAGTTATTCTGTCTTCGGAGCTTCCATTTTAACCACTTTGCTATGCTGTCTTTGTCATTACAGTTCTATAACTAATACTCACTTGCACTTGTCTGTTTATACATCTGCCCTTCCTTTACAGAATTTGAGCTTCTTGAAGGAGATCATTTGTTTCATTCACATTTTAAAATTTTGGTGTTGACATAGTATCCCGGCAAAAGGCTGGTTTTCAATCTGTGCTCACTTGAATATATAAGAATAATTAATCTGCTGCTGGTTTCCTACGAATAAACATTCATGCTACAACTTGAAATCAGCCTTTTGACTTTTAATCTTTTGAAATGTGATTTCAAGGTTTATGTTTTCTGTCTAAAATAGGTCAAATTGTTTTTTGAACAATGTATTCCTTGTCTCAGTTCCAACTGTGAGTATGGGTCAGTTTTCTGGAATGGTCAAGAATAGTTTGACCACACACAAATGTTCACAAGCAAATGGAAATTTGTTTCTAACTTTCCCTTTGCCAAATCACATGCGACACTGTCAGTCCAGACCCTCCTTTTACTTCCTGCTCTCGTTTTCCTCCCCAGCTCCCAGCCTATCTGCGCGAGCTTCTGTGTCCTAAATAACTTGGGAGTTACCAGTCTTCTTTAAGGATCTGGTGTTCTAAAAGGTTTCTAAAGAATTTTATGAGGTTTTTATTACTTAATTGACAAGAATTTATTAGCTAGAGTGGCAAGTAAATAAGGACGTCTTAAAAACAAAAAGTTGTTTTACTTCCCATTTCACTTTCTCTCTCTCTAGCTGTTTTCCTTCACTAATATTTCCAAAACACACAACAACAGTTGGCATCGCTCGCATATAAACAGCTCTTCCATGTCACTGAGAAAACGAGCAAGATCCAGGGAGGAAAAATGGATACAGGATATAAATAGAAAATCCTCAAAACAGGAATTTCAAAATGTCAACAAACAGGCAAAACTTTCTTTCAACAGCGCTATTATGACTGGTATGTTTCACTTGCTTTTTTTTTTTTTTTCTTTTTCTCCAGCAAATTGCTCAAATGTCGGTGTGCTCTCATGAACAGAAACGATGGCACGGTGGGTCCTGGTCTCAAGACTTCCTCTCAATGATTCAGAGGTCTTGGGGGTTTTTTGTCTGAATATCAGGCAAAGAGGAAGGACGGCTACAATGGAGGAGTCTCCTACCACGCTTGTGGTCGTCACTGTAGTGCTCAGTTGAATGGTGTGTCCATTGGGGTTGGAGTCCCCATCCTGTTCTGGGTCCTGGCCCCCCACAGGCTCCAGGGACATAACCCTTCCAGTTCAGGATCATGTGCTGGGGCACTGTTCCCTGAGGTGGGACTCTGGGCTGTAACAGCTGCTTTTGAAGCATGTTCCAGCTTCAACCACGTGCTTGGACGACACCAGCTCTTCCCACATACTCTTCCCCAGCTCTTGTGTTGAGTTTGGCTTCCACCTTCCTCCAGCTGGTAAGGTTCTCTGTTTCTCTTTGATGTGTGGGTTTCAAATCTTGGTCATAATCCCTTCACCTGCCATGCTCTGTTCTACCTTGAATAGGCTTTCATATTTTGAATTCTGGACCAGAGATGGGTTCTTGATACTCATCTTTTCCAGAAAATTTTGCATTGCTTTTGCAAGCAAGCCTGAGCCAACGGCAGAACTCTGCATCGCGCTGTGTTTCAGGGTGGGAAAGCCTTGGCCGCAGGGTAGGGAGTCTCATTCAATATCTGCTGTGGTGACACTGTCTCCTGCCACATAGAGAAGCTGCCAGCATAATGTTACATATGCTGCATGGTTGCACCCACTTATACTGGCAATCAAAACTACATGAATTACTGCAACAAAGAAAGTATTTTTGTCTATTGAATGATCCAAAATTACAAAAAAAAAGTGAAAAAGTGGCTACACTTATGCATCATTTATGGGAGTGTAAATTATATATATATATATTAAACAGGGTCTCGCTATGTTGCCCAAGCCATTCTGGAGCTCCTGCGCTTAAGTGATCCTCCTGCCTCAGCCTCCCAAGTAACTGGAATTATAAATGTGAGCCACTGTGCCCAGCAATTACAAAATTTTTGGAATGCAATTGGGAAGTACAGCTGAAAAACTTCAGCAACGTGGGCTGTTTGATTGTACAATCGCACTTCTTGGAATTTATCCTACAGAAATCAGTAGTCAAGTTCACAAAAACTGACAATAGCCATTACAGAGAAGCAGAAGAAAGGGAAATAAAAACATTCAAACCTACCAACAGGAGATTGGACAAATAAATCATGTTATAACTATACAATGGGCTATTATGTAACCATTAAAATGATCATCTATTCTAGATCTATACTTATTGCAATATAATAATAACCATAATATATAGTTATTTGATAAAAGAAGGTAGCACATGTGAGGTAGTACATCTCATTTCTATTAGAAAAAACTACACACAAACACAAACATCGAAGAAAGGGATCTGGGAAGAGAAGACAAGAAGCTCCCGGTGCATTGCTCGGGAGAAACACAACCTATGCCGTCAGTAACTAATTCCCAGGGCGACATCATTGGCAATTTCACTTATTTATGTTTTTCAATATTGATTATATACATATATATATATATATATATACATATTTAACCAAGATATTATAAGATTATTTTTATTTTTTTGATTACCATTTGTGTGATTGTGGTTCCCAAGTGCCAGGCTCCACAGAAAGTTTTACAATCATTTACAGCTGAAGTCTCAAAACTGCCTCAGGTCAGAATCACCGCGATTCTGTGCTTTTATAAATGAGGCATGCAGAATTGAAACAATTTTACAAGTTCATAAAACTAGTGACCAGTGGAGCTGGTATTTGAACCCTGACCGTCTTGTATGATCATGAATTATTCTCATGGTCAGAAAAAGAGATGATAAAAATCTACTTATTGAAAAAGAAGAAAAGAAAGTATTTCTCTCATCTTCATAACACTGGACAATACTTAACCTCTTTATTCATAAAATATTAAACAAATGCAAAGTTAAATAAGAGGTTGCTATTTTTTTTTTTTTGCTTTTTGTTTTCTCTTTCCACCCAGAGTCTAGAGTATTTCATAGTTAATTTTCTGGTTATTAAAGATATCATCAAGCTGAACATTCTTTCATTACAAGGGATAATCAGCTGATTTCTGTGTTTTTCTTCTCTGTGAGAAACATGCCCACAGAAACTGTTCTTTCCAAATCTACTCATGGACATATTAAAAAGAAGGTCTGCTCCCCTGATGATGCAAGAGGCCCAAGAGTCCGAATGGCAGACCTGATCAAGTGGGCTTGATCACAGGGGCTTGGCTGCTACGAATGCTTGGTGGTGTCCATAGATTACAGAGGTAGACGGTGTTTGTGTTAGTCTGTTCTCATACTGCTATAAAGATACTACCCAGACTGGTTAATTTATAAACAAAGGAGGTTTAATTGACTCAGAGTTCTGCATGCTCGGGAGGCCTCAGGAAACTTACTGTCATGATGGAAGGGGAAGTAGGTACCTTCCTCACAAGGCAGCAGAAGAGAGTGTGTGTGCGAAGGAGGAACTGTCAAACGCTTATAAAACCATCAGGGATCTAGTGCAAACTCACTCGCTATCACGAGAACAGCATGGGGGAAACTACCTCCATGATCCAATCACCTGCCTCCCTGGACAGGTGGGAATTACAATTCAAGATGAGATTTGGGTGGAAACACAGAACCAAACCGTATCAATGTTGATTAGCTATTGGGCAAATCCATGGCAGAAAACTTACTATAAAAACCAGATATTCACAACATTTCCAGCTGCACAGAGAACACTGACAGATGCATGAAAGAAATGTTTTCTGCCACCACGAGCTTTCTGCCATTCTGGAAATAAATAACATACACAGAACACACACAAATACACATGAAATACTATCTCATTATTCCTCCCAGAAAATCTTAAGGCTCATATCCACACACATACATGCATGCACACACATACACTGTTGCTGGACTGTCAAAAAGTAATTTAGGATCACAGTTCCACCACTCTCACACCCACAATAAAGGACAAAGTCAGATAAAGTCAGATGTAGGCTGAGCCCCAAAGCTGCCTTCGTCTCCAGGGAATCTCAGATGACAGTGGAGGGTCTGTGGGAGGAGAGGCCAAGGCTCAGAACCACCAGGCGGGGTCAGAAGGAGACTTCGATGGCTGCACCTTCTGCATGAGAGTGAACTAGAAATAAACACACCTGACAGAAGGGAACACCAGAAAGATGTGCATTCCATCATCCTGGCCCTGAGTGTAGGGAAATGAATCAACAAAGCACTCCTGATCATAACCAGAACCTGGCCCTCACATCAAATTGTAATGCTGTCCGAATAAATTTTCAGCAAAATTTTTGGTCCAGTAAACCTTGAAGACAATTTTGAAGTTTAAAATAATATGCTTAAAAGAAGCAAATACAAATGTTTTCTAGAGAAATAGACCTAGAACACAGCCTCAGATAATTCTCACGGTGGTAGGTTTCAAAGATGATGAAAAACATCATGATACCACACACAACACCTCAAGGAAGAAGGCACAATGAGTGAGACACAGCAGACACGACAGACTGCAGAACCAATCCTGCACACTCTTAGACACTGGAATTGACTAAGGTATGATACAGCTATAGTATATTATATAATGTTATATATAATATAAATGTATCATATACATAAATACTATGTTTATTTATAATATTACTTGTAAATAATTTATAATTAAAATATTTATAAATAAAGATACTATTATATATTACCATTATAAATTGTTATAATTATATACCATATAATTATATATTCTTATAAATTATTATCATTATGAATTATATTACTGTTACAAATGATATATTTATGTAATTATATATTATAAATAATAAAAGGTAACATATGTGTATATTATATACATGCTTCATAAAGTTAAATATAGGAATTGACTAAAAAATGTAAGCAAATAATGACGACTCTACAAAACAGCCAAGCAAATTTGAAAGGAAAACACCAAGTGGAATTTCGTTTTTCTTTTTCTTTTTTTTTGAGAAGAAGTCTTGCTCTGTTGCCAGGCTGGAGTGCAGTGGTGTGATCTCAGCTCACTGCAACCTCTGCCTCCTGGGTTCAAGTGATTCTCCTGCCTCAGCCTCCCAAGTAGCTGGGACTACATATGTGCATCACCACACCCAGCTAATTTTTTTTGTATTTTTAGTAGAGACGGGGTTTCACCATGTTGGCCAAATTGGTCTCGATCACTTGACCTTGTATTCCACCCACCTCGGCCTCCCAAAGTGCTAGGATTACAGGCATGAGCCACCGTGCCCAGCCCCAGGTAGGATTTTCAGAAATGATAAATAAAGTGTCTGAAGTTAAAAAATAATAATTCAGTTTCAATTATGAATTACACAGTTGAAGAGACAATTAGTGAATTGGAAAGTAAATCTGATATAATGATATAAATTGTAGTAATAAAGCAAGTAAAATTAAAGAGGTGTGATGAAGAAGGCGAGTTCTAAAATTCATCTACTCAGATTTCCAAAAGAGAGAATTTGAATAGTTAACATGTAAGGAGTTTCCAGATTTGTTGAAAGACGCCTATTCTGAAGTCGAATATCAAGTAGGATACAGTAAAAAGAAAAATCAACAGCTATATTACTCAAAATACAATTTCAAACAAACAGCAGTTACTTAAAGCCCTTAGTGAGAAAATACAGATTAATTTCAAAGGAATCACAATAAGAACTAACGTTTCTTCCCAGATGCAACAAGGGAAATCAAAAAAGACTTGAAATTACTTCCTATTTGTGTTGAAAAATATCAATAGTCAACCTGATTTTATGTTCACTAAAACTGTTTTTCAAGAATGAGTGTAAAATTAAGACATAAAATCTGAGAGTTGCCAAAGGAACCTAAATAAAGAAAAATTTCAGTTTATGGAATTTAAATGTTATAATTAAGATACAGGGCACAAATGTTATAGACATTCAATATGCATAGACCTTTGCGTTGTAATGGAGAAGGGAAGAGATGGTGATTAAATTTTGACTTCTGTATGGGAACTGTTAAATAATACTAAACACTAACATAATAGAAATAGGGACTGTAAATTCAACTTGGTGGAAAATTTTTAAATGTAGGGAGAGGAAAAAAGCCTCTAAATTCAAAAAACGCCAAGAAGGAAGAAAAGTCCAAAAGAATGATAGCACGCATGAGAAGAATAGAAAGCACAATATGAGATAGTAAAATAAAAGTCAAATATGTCAGCAATCCAAAAGGTTCTGATGGAAGAACAGGCTGAGCTTCTGTAAGGAAGAGAAGAGGAGTGGATTTCTCCCTCTCTGGAGAGTCCCCACGAGTGGACATAGGCTTGTGGATGGCCCTGCACACTCTTCTCTCGGCCTGCTTCACTGGCTCTAAGGTGCCTTTTCAGCTGTGACCATAGCTGGGTCTACAGGAACGGGTGAAGGTGGACACCTAGGAGCTCCTTTCTCAGACTGAGACCCAGTCACCCCCAGCAGCCTGTGCACCTTTGCTCCATTCTACTTCCCCCAGCTCACTCATACGTAGCTACGAGCACTCCCAGGACACACTCAGCTCAGGGAAGGACCTGGGAGAAGGTTCTATGAGTAGAAGGAAGAAGTGGAGAATGGAAACTGTAGGCAATTAGCACTCTTCCCTTCAACACTAAATGGGAATCGACTCAACATTCTGGTTGAAAAGCAAATATTTTCATACTGGATTAAAAAATATCTAGCTAAATGCTATTTACGAGAGACACATCCAAATTACAAGAATTTAGAAAATTTGGCAGTTAAAAGAATTTTTCTTCTTGTAAACTGATTATCTATATCTATCACTGTTATAAACTGATATACATATATAAATGTTATGTAAATACACACAATTGTACACATATGCGTGTACACACAGACAAACAAAGGAAAGCTGATTTAATGCTCTTATTATTAGGCAAAAGAGACTTAAAAGGCAGAAACCACTACTAAAGATAAAGAGAGAGGATCATTATATAACACAAATGTTTCAATTTTCTCAAGGAAAATATAACTAAGCTTACATACACTTACTAATAAAGTTTCAAAAGTAAATATTAGCAAAACAAGGAAAAATAGAGTTCAGCATTTTATTAGGGAATATTTAATAGAATGGGCTTGCTTCACACTTTCTAGCTGTGTGACATCGGGATGTTTCTTGAGTTGTCTATGACTCATAATGGCAAAATGGTACAATAAGATAAATACTTCCTAATGTATTAAATAAAACAGTGTGGATAATGTACTTAGCAAAGTATCTAGTGTGCAGGAAATAGTCCATCAAAATTAAATACTGTTATTATAACATTTTTGATGAAAGTGGTAATAAAGCCACATTAGAGAAAAAAGACTTGAATTACTTTTGCACCCACCCATAGCAAATAATAATCTTTTCATTTCTGATTGCTGCTATGACCACAGAAAATAACAGAGCCATGAGGAAAGAGGAAAAACAAATAAAAAGCTATCTGATAGTGGAGGTTATTGCTCTATTTCCCTTGGAGGCAAAACATATTTTCAAAAAAATTCTTCTTTTCCTCCAAATTCTCCAACTTTTATTTTTAAATATACGTACTGCTATGAAATCCACATATTATTTTCTGCCTGAGTAATATTTTGAAACGCCAGTGACCATTTTGCTATTGACTCATTACGCTGCCGTTTTTTCGATCTATGTGAACATGTGTAGAAAGCTATGAAAACAGAAAGCACAGCATCACCAAAGGCAAGATAGAACCCACTGTTGGTATTGGATAGCGTTGCCTATATGATCAAAAATGTGTCATCGATTAAGTGTGAAACGTTTATTCTGGTCAATGGCTTCCCAATTTAGTGTAAACATATAATTCTATGCTGATTCCTCTGGTTAGAGCCATAGTATATCACCGTGGTCTTCCAGACGCCTTTGCGTTTACTTTGAGTATAGACATGATTGGGCTCAAGCTAAACTCAGTCGTCTTTGATTTGGTTGCATGCGGAGCCAGTGCCATCCATGCCACTCAGCTTCAGATTGTTTCTAAGTATCCCTGAAAAACATCAGGCACACACAGAACCACTACCTTACCCTTGGGGTTTGTCAACTCACAGACCTACTGCTTTACACAAAGAAGGTGGTTAAACATGCATTTCTTTTAAAGGCATATTTGGTCCCTCTAAAACAGCGCAATAAAATTGCACAATCTAAAGGAAGGAACAGTTTGTTTTGCCCTTTTTATTGCCAGTTAAATGCCAGTAGACTCTTAAAGTAACAGCAACCCGTGTAAAGGGGAAAAAAAAAAGCAAATAAAATTTTTATGAGTTAAAAATAAACCTAATGCTCTTTCCTCTTCCATAGTTTTACAAAACTTTCTATACCTTTTGGCAGAAGGAACTACATATAATATATAATATTTTTGCTCTGCAAATACCAGCAAGGCATCATATAAAATTATAGCTGTAGGAATGGAGATGCTGTAAAACCAAACAGGGAAAAAGAACATTTTCATACAGAGTAACACAGTTGATGTTATTTTCACTCTAACAAAGCAAAATTTATTGTAAGAGTAAAAGAAGCTGGGTGTGGTGGCTAACGCCTATAATCCCAGCACCTTGGGAGGCCGAGGTGGGCAGATCACTCAAGGTCAGGAGTTCAAGACCAGCCTGGGCAACATGGTGAAGCCCTGTCTCTACTAAAAACACAAAAATTAGCCAGGTGTGGTGGCTCATGCCTGTAATCCCAGTTACTCAGGAGACTGAGGCAGGTGAATTTCTTGAACCCAGGAAGCAGAAGTTGCAGTGAGCCAAGATCGTGCCACTGTACTCCAGGCTGGGCCACAGAGCAAGACTCTGTGTTTAAAAAAAAAAAAAAAAAGAAAGAAAGTGGCGTTGGCTGTATGCTTTATTTTGCTTGTATAAAACCTCTTAAAAATAGCATTCATTATAGGTGGCTCTTATTTTTAAACAGAGCAGTTGCTTCTTCTGTTCTGTGTCTGATTTAACACCTGAACGCCTTGTGACCCTTTTCAAGCATTTTAGCTGTAATGGTGCATCGGAGCCATCTGGAAGCCCAAGGGATTCTGATCCAATTGGCCTGAGGTGCCTCCGGGGTCTTTTCTTCCAGGAGTTTTCAAAGCTCCCCAGGTGACTGACGGGTAGCCAAAGTTGAGAACCACAAGTTAGATGACATCTAACCACAGCTTAGATGAGCAGGGATGCACAAAGTCAGTGGTAATGTGGAACGTCCGCCAAGAGGAAGCTACACCTCAGTCGTTAATGTCTAGTCTCCTTCCTGTTGCCCTGAGTTTAACTAGCTGTGATGCTACTCTTGACCACCTGGCCCAGGGCACCACCCTCCTTCCACCAACCCTAAATTTCACCTGAAGGGACCAGAGTAACGACGGTTTGGGAGTGGCGAGACAGGAACAGGGGAAAGGGACTCTTTTGATTTCCATTTTTTTCCCATCTTAAATGCTGACATATGCTCCAGAAAGTTTGTGTTGGTCTCCAAACACCAGCCAGAAGGGTTGCTTTAGCGTCGATGGCCTTGAGTTTCTGTTTGTTTCATTTTGTGTGTCCAGCATATCTTCTTTCGTGCATCAACAATTGTGTATAGCTTGCCTTAGGCTGAGCAGCAGGAGTGACAGACTTTTTTGGGGGGTGGGGGGCGTGCATCGGGGAAGAAGGGGAACCAAGAAGATGGGAAGGAGCCTGCAGAGGGTGTTTGGCTGGCATCACTTAGGCTAACCTTACCCAGGGCCAAAGATGTGGCACAGGCTGGCACAGAGTTGGAAGCTGATGCATGTTCATTATTTACCCTCAGCTAATGTCCAGTGCAGCTGCTGACATCTAGCACAGCTCGGCAAATCAAGCTGGCCAGAGATGGAAAATATTCTTACCCAAAACTTGATGGAATGCTAAGGGTGTCCCGGCATATTATCTGGAAAAATGTCATGGAAGGACTAGAAATTAAGCTGGATAAGGAAGACCTGATCCCTCCAGCTTAGAAACCTTACCTATTCAAAATAAGAGCTGCTGTTTCCTGTTGGATTCATAGACTATAATAATAATTTGTAATAATTTAGTTATAGTAATAGTTTCTTGTTACTATAATAATTATTTGTGAGAATTTGCTGGTAAACAGTAATTTTGTATTAGATAGTAATAATTAATTTATATTATGGTAAATCTAGAAATTACTAAATTTTATAAATAATTAATAAAAACTGAACCCCAAATTAGAACAGTGATGACAAAAGTAATAACGATAATCACAACAGTGTATATATAATATATATATATTTCCACATATAACTATATGGAGTTATCTTTATTATTCAGTTGCTCATGTATTTATCTGACTGTTTATTAATTACCTGGCTTCTAGGTGTTAAGCACTTTGTTATATGTTAAGTATACAACAATAAAGAAACAGATAGGGTCTCCATCCTCAGTAATTTGGTAGACTAGTGAGAGACAGGCATTAAACAATTAAAAATTCAAGGGTATATATTATGGCAAAAATGTGTTAAGGAAAAGAACTGGGACATGAGATAATTTATCCAAATTCCTACTTGGGTTCCAGTGATCTGAGGATACCCTTTAAGACCTTTAAGAAAATGACATTTAAACAGAATCCTGATTGATGGGCAAGAATCATTTTGGTTAAGAAATGGAAGGAGTTCATTTTATGCAGGAAGGGGAATGTGCAATGAGGTAAAAATACTTCCTGAAGAAGGAGCACTCACACATGCAGGCATGTGCAGGCACACCCACAACACGCCCTCACACATGACAGTCCAGCACGCAGTGTGCATAGACAGTCACGCTGGTGTCTGGCCCCCTCCCAGAATCTATGAAGATAGGACAAACTAACTGGGTGCCAAGGACCACAATTTTCAAAAACAAGAGCAGGGAAGTGCTGAGCGTCTGGGCAAATAAGTCTAGACTCTGATCTTGAAGATATGAATTCATTTCAGAACATTTGCTTGGACTATCTCCTTGTGCTTGCATAATCTTGCCTACACCACGATGTGCTAAGTTTAGACGTTCCTCCAGTCTTCCAGCAGGCAGTATGGCAGAGAGGGAGGGAACGGGCTCAGCCCAGGGCTCCCCAGTTCTGCTACCACCAGGGAGAGGGAGGGGTATTGTTCTTACTGCAGAAAGTGCCAAGACTTGAACCAAATGTTTATATTGTGTTTTTGAATTTCTGCTTGGGGAAGAGACAGCCTACCAATGACTTCAAGAAAATATGTTGGCTCTTTTTCTGCAAATAGCCTTTCTGGTTTTTATGGCAAATAGAAGAAATGTCTCTCTTTAGTCATTGAGCCACTTTGTTGTGATTTTTTTTCTAAAGTATGTTGAAAGTCATGTGGATATTCTTCTAGGTGTTGTGAGCTGTGCTATTTTCCAGCAATGTGGAGCTCCTCTCATTCCAAGAACAGGGCGATAATCTGTTATTGGAAGATGAATAATGTAGTTTCTTGACCAGGAGAAGGGGAGCAAGATGTTACTGAAGCAGTTTACAGTTGAGCCAAACTGCATGTTCCCTGAGTCACTTCATTCACGTTGTTTTATTTTGATTGATGGTGTATGAATTTTTTTTAACAGCTTTGACCTTTGTCCAAATGCTTCTAACTGATCCTCATCTTGAATCTACAGTGAGGCCATCAGCTGTGTCTCCCCTCCCTGTCCCTTCTCCTTCCTGTCATTCCACAAGCCCTTCCTGCTGAATCTAGCCCTAAATCCGGTTTTGTATTTTTATCCATGGCAGACCTTAGATTATTTCTGGTTGGGATTATTGGGATTATTTCTAAATATGCTGGAATTTCTGCTTTTGTTGTGTCCATCCCAGCGTTGATTTAGATTTTCCTCATTTTAGCATCAGAACGGACACGATTGCTAAGAATTCCTTCAGATCTGCCCATGGCGTGGAGCCACTTCTTCACCGTTCCAGAGCCTAAACCCTGCGAATCATGGGTGGCTGGCTGGCAGATGCTTCTCTTGAGAGTTGATAGTGTCCTTGGGCCAACACTCAACCAAGGAGCCCTGCGGTGAGATCACCTGTCACTCTAAGGAGAGAAACTGATTCCTACAGAACAGAGCTGGGCTGCAGTGGCCTCAGGGCAATAATGTCACAGGCCTTTGAACGCATTCAACAAAACTCCCAGTCTCTGGTTAACAAGCGAATGCGCCTGAAAGAATGGGACAGATAATGACAGGTGAATGCCCCCTGACCTGTGTGGCCAATGGCCCAGCAGGACTGGCATTACTCCAAAATTGTCAGAAATCCAGGCTCTCAGGCCCCGCCCCACCACCCAAACCAGAAACCATGTGGACAAGATCTCCAGGTGATTCAAATGCACAATAGGCCTGCATGAGTAATGCATATCAAGAAATCTTCGCTTCCCTTAACTACCTAGCGGGACACCAAGGGAACCTCCTAGAAGAAGTCTTGGATGGGATGGGGCTGGATGCCACCCCCTCAAAGGAGCACAGACCTGCTGGCCCCCCTTCCCTCCCTCTGCAGGCCAAGCTCATGAGCTGTGGGGAGTGGGAGCAGGGGGTCCCTCCCACATCCTCAGGAAGAAGCCACCATGTCATTGGGAGCCTGTGTTACACATCAGTGTGTGAGGGAAGAATCTGGAAACAACTGACTAAGAGGATGGCATGATCTCAGCTCACTACAACCTCTGCTTCCTGGGTTCGAGCGATTCTCCTGCCACAGCCTCCCGAGTAGCTGGGATTACAGGCGTGTACCAACACACCCGGCTAATTTTTTGCATTTTTAGTAGAGATGGAGTTTCACTCTATTGGCCAGGCTGGTCACAAACTCCTCAACTCAAGTGATCCACCCACCTTGGCCTCCCAAAATGCTGGGATTACAGGCGTGAGCCACCACTCCCGGCCAGGTAGTGACAGTTTTTAGAGGCTCTGGGTGCTTGGCCCTTGCCTTAAACCGAATGCTTTAAAAGGCCTTTGATCTCTGTCAATAAAATTGCAAGTGTGTACACACATTTGACTTAACAATCATAATAATAAAACCTAATGAACAGTCAAGACATTTTTTAAAAAGACATTTTGCTTGAAAGGCTTCTCATCTATCATAGAACAACAGTGGCTTAGAGCTGGGGAATCATGTCTGTTTCTGTCCCCGAGCGAGTGCCTGCCATATCACATGAGAAGGCATATCCGTCACTCAGGGGGTCTCCTGCCTCCTGCTGCCCTCAGCTGTTTTGATCTATTCTGGTCATCTAGGGACTTGGCTGAAACTAGAAGGCAGACACAGTCTGAGAATTATTTTATTCCTTTATCATCTCCCTGGGCAATCTTTACTTTTAGGTTAAGAAATAGCATGTTCTTTTCCTTAAAGTTTTAAAATTCCATTTTCTTTTCATTTTATTGGAAAGACTATTGCAATGGAAAAGAGAGGCAGTTTTCTTAGATGTTCAATGCCTGTCTCCACTGGCCAGATAAATTCCAGTAGTGCTCCGTCATTCTGTGATTCTTCTTCGAGGCTACTGAGGGTGGCTATCTGAGTTGAGCAGAATAAACTTAAACAGGGCTGGGCGTGGTGGCTCACGCCTGTAATCCCAACAGTTTGGGAGGCCGAGGCTGGGGGATCATTTGAAGTCAGGAGTTCAAAACCAGCCTGGCCAACATGGCGAAACCCTGTCTCTACAAAAAAATACAAAAATTAGCCAGGCGTGATGGCATGTACCTGTAATCTCAGCTACTTGGGAGGCTGAGGCAGGAGAATCGCTTGAGCCCAGGAGGTGGAGGTTGCAGTGCACCGAGATTGTGCCACTGCATTCCAGCCTGAGTGACATAGCAGGACTCCGTCTCAGAAGAAAGAAAGAAAAAGAAAGGAAAGAAAGAAAGAAAGAAAGAAAGAAAGAAAGGAAGGAAGGAAGGAAGGAAGGAAGGAAGGAAGGAAGGAAAGAAAGAGAGAAAGAGAGAGAAAGAAAGGAGAGAGAAAGAAAGAAAAAAGAAAGAAGGAAAGAAAGAAACTTAAAAGGGAATTTGTTAATCTCTAGAAAATTTCTCTCATGGAAAATCACTTAGCTGAAGGGTAAAAGGAGACGCTCCCTTCAGTAACCTTCAGAAACGGCCCATTTTCTACTGAGAAATCACTTCACTTTCACTTGAGACGGGTTCTGGCCCCGCAGTTGTAAAAGCCTGGGAATGAATACTCTAGGTTTTCCTCCTGGTATCAACACGGCATGGTTTGGTAACCCCTTTCCTTGTGCCATCTGTAGAATGGTGGTAAACGTGCCCTACGTAGATGTAGGTTATACCTTCAGTGCAATGGACTGAATGTTTATGTCCCTGTAAAATGTATATGTGAAGACCGAATTCCCAATGTGTTGGCAACAGCAGGTGGGGGCTTTGGGAGGTGATGCGATTATGAGGTTGGGGCCCCATGAGTGAAATCACTGCTCCCATAAAAGAGACCTCAGAGTGATGCCCCACTCCTTCCACCCTGTGAGGACATGGGGAGAAGATGTCATCTATGAGCCAGGAAATAGGCTGTCACTAGACATCAAATCTGCCAGCATCTTCATCCTGGACTCCCAGCCTCAAGGAATCCATTGAGAATACAGTGTGTTGTTCATAAGCTACAGAGTCCTGGTCTTTTGTTACAGCAGCCAGAATGGACAAAGAATGCCGCGAAACTGTCTCCCTTCTGGCTTTCCCTCAGTGGCCTCTCCTTTCGTTTCTCATCATCAGTGTCTGCCCCTGCATTGACATGGCGGCTTGACATCATACTTCCTATCAAGGTGAGATTAAATAGAACTTCATACCTACTCCCTCTCCGACCATCTCCTGTGGGCCCCAGCTCCTCTGCTGCCTGGTGAACAAATGCAAGAAAGAATGATATCCAGCCCCTCGGCATGTCTGGCAATGTCAGGAGTGAGAATGCAGGGTGGCAACCGTGGACAGGCTGGCCTCTGAGGAAGCACTAAGGTCCTGGGGTCCGTGCCCCGCACAGCACATGGAGCAGGCCCACAGGCTGCTGTCATGAGCACCACGGTAGAGTTGCCACACAGAGTCTTAGTGTAAAATACCATGAGTTTATTTGACAAAAGGTAGCCCCAAGAAAATGTTTCAAGCAGGATAACATAAGTGCAGAGTCTGTGTTTATGGATCTTTAACCCAAACTTTCCCACCTGAATGTGATTCCTGGATAAACCCGAGACGCGAGTGTGAGTTAGGCTGGTTTTAGTGAACTATAAATACGAACAGTTTTCATTTTTATTAAGCATGCAACATTGTATTATTTAATATCACCTTAATTTGAACTTTGGAAGCTTTGATGATTGCACCCTATATTCCTAGTCAGCATTAATAGAGTAATACTATTTTTTTCCCCTAATTTCTTTGGTGATGGGACCGCCTATATTTACATTGCTGGACTGAGTAAAGGAATGTGGCTAAGAATACTGGCCTACAACTAATGAGAGGTGATATTGTTTAATGATCTAGGAGTTTTGGATTGAGAAAAACCCAGATTCAAGCTCAAGACCTAGAATCCAGATCAAATTCTGCTACTTACTAACTACATGAACTTTAATAAACATTTTTCTTTAATGCCTCTGAAAATAAGACTTATCAGATGCAGTAGTTCATACCTGTAGCCCCAGCATTTTGGGAGGTCAAGGCTGGAGGATCAAAGCCAGGAGTTTGAGATCAGGAGTTTGAGGGCAACATAGTGAGACCCTGTCTCTTACAAAAAGACTAATAAAGAGACCCACCTCACTGGTGGTTTGTGTTTGAGACAATGGAAGGAGCAATGAACGCTGGATCAAGAGGAAAACACGACAACACGACGTTGACTGATGCACAACATTCATTGCCAGAGAGAACAGAACGTTTTGGGATTATGAGCAAAACAAGCACACTGCTTCTAAGATGACACACCAACAGTGGTTTATGCCATCTTTTCATCATTGTGACAAATGCCACTTCATTTAGCATTTTCTTGTGTTCACTATGAATACTACTCAATATTTTAGTAGACCAAGGACCCCAGATATTCATGCTCCCAGCCATGATGTCAGCTCCCTTCTTCTGGGCAGTTGTCCCCAGAGCACCCCACCTACCACCAGCGGCCCTGGGGCTCTCAGAGATGCTCACAGCAAGTGTCTGCCCGGTATCTGATAAACAAGTTAAGTGGGATCTGTCAGGGAGGTATCTGGAGAGAGGTGGAGTGGGGCAGGGGACATGCATATTTACTCCCTTCAAGCACCAATCCATGTAGCTCACAGAAAGCAAACTCAGAGTGCTTAAAGCAAAAAGGGGCCCCTGTCCTGTCTGATCCTGCCCTGCACAGTCTTTGAGTTTATAGCAGCAGCTCCAGGCAGATAGTGGGCTGAGCACAGTCCCTGGAGATGAGGCCCTTTTGAGAAATTACCTCTGTCCCCAAGAGTGACTCCTGTTTCTCAGTTGGTAGCTGATTCATCTGAGACCATCTCATTGCAGAATTGACTTAGTAGCAAAGTCCTGTCTGAGAACACAGGCTTCTGGGGGAGAGGCCTCCAAGCCAAGTGACTCCTCAAATAGGACATGAGTTGCATAGGTTCTCTGAGCTCCTGTTTTCTTGTCCATGAGCTGAAGACAGTAAAGGAAATGGCAGGGTTTCCACGAGGAGTGAAGGAGCCCAAGGAGGGGGTCACAGGTGTTGCTGTGTAGGAGTTTATTCCCTGCCTTGCCTAGGAATTTATTCCTGTAAATCCATTTCCTTACTCACTTTTAAAATTCACCATTTCTTCATATGCTTGTCACTGTTACTACATTTGGGTCACTCTTCTGTGGCCCTCGAGGACTTTGGGGACACTCGGGTTTCCTCTGATATTTCATGCCATGACTCACCTATGTGCATGTCAACGGCCCACCCAGCACCCTACCTTCAAAATTTATGAATTTCCTCCACGCCCACAACTTTAACCTTTGTTTCACTTCTAGAATCCACTCAAGGGACAGGCCCTGGCCCTCCCCTTTACCAGTAACTCCTGTCTTTCTCTATCTCAGAAGTTCCTTTTTCTTGGGACACATGCCTGAGCCCCTTCTCCCTGCCAGTGTCCTCACCCTGGCAGAGCACATTGCTCCTTTTCACTGTGCAGCCAGTCTTTAGGTCACCCGGCTCCTCCTCATTCATCAGCCCCCTCTTGTCTTGCTTCCCTCATTCTAGTTCTGGACATACGATTCTATTTAAAAATCCACTCCCACTATCCCTTTCAATATTCTCACTCAACGAATGTTTACTGAATGATAACACCCTTCCAAATAACCTCTTCCACTTCCTTCTCTCTCACCCTCATATCCACTTAGAGAGTTTCCTCTCTTTAGCTTAGTCACTCATGACCCACTCATATTTTATGACATCTAAAGCAATATCAGTAACAAAATGCACCATGGCATTATGCACCACAGAGAAAGCAAACATGCTGCCAATTAAAGTAGAAAAAAGCCATCAATCGTAAGATGCATTCTGCTTTCAAAGCTGTTAAAATATGAAAATATATGCATCCTATAATATACAAAGTAATGGCATTTTTTAGATCCCTGCAAAGATACTTCCTAATCTTCTTTTCTCTCTGATATTAAATTTCATGAAAGAGACTGAGCTGTGAAGCCCTGACTCTTACTTCCCAGAGAGTCTTTATTCTACTACCATTTGGATCCCTCTTCTAATAAAACTGCTCTCTTAAAAATCGTGAGTCACGTCACAATTGCCAGCCCTGAGGCAGTGTCTAAGGCTGTCCTTCCCAGGGCCACAGCCTGAGCTGACGCTGCTGGCTGTCTTTCCTTCCTACAATGCTGCCCTTCATTCTGAGGATACATCTTCTGCTTATTGTCACACGTTGGTTAATCCTTCTCAGTTTTCAGACTAACGACTGCTTACCTGCATTATTTCTTCATGGTCCCATCTTCTATCCTTGCGATCTGTAGTTCCTCTTTTTGAAACCTCCCAAATCAGACTTTTTGCCCTCAGGACATACCCTCAAAGCGACTGGGTAAGTCAACCTGTAGCACTCACGCTGATAAATCAAAACATCAGGTCCCCATTATCCTCAGCTCTGAACTGCCAGTGGAATTCAGCCCAGGCATTCACTGCTTATGTGTGAAGATGCTTCACTTCAGTGCCATGCACAAAGCATGCTCTCTTGCACAGACTCATGTCACCTAAGAGGCTACATCTTCAGATCACTAATTCCTACACAACTCACAAAAATGCTTGAGCCTAGTCCTTAAAACTTGCTCTCTTTCAGGTCAGATCTAGCCCCTTTACATTGAGTAGAGTTGGCTTCTCAGGTTTAGACTCCAGGTTTACCTCTGCAGCTTTAACCTTCACACTAACCCTATCCTTAATTCTAATCCTAACCTTAACCCTAACCCTAACCCTAAACTTACCCCAAATGCTAACCCTAGCAACCTAACCATAGCCCTGACTTTAGCCCTAACCCTAACCCTAACCCTAACCCTAGCACTAACCCTAACCCTGATCTCCAGGCTTGTGCCCTTCATCACCTGCTTGCCATTGCCTTGGTCACATAATCAGCATCTCACACATGTGACATCCAAAGATAGATTCCCAGTGTTACCAGACTGGCTCTTTCCACTGTCGTCTCCATCTCACGAACAGACAAGTCTCTCCTTCCTGTTCCAAAGACCAAAGAACAGGAGGCTAGCTTTGATTCCTCTCCTCACACCTCTGAGTTATCTCCCTCCCAGTAGCTCTAGCTATGAAAAGAGACTCAGAATCCATGGCATGTCTCCGCTTGCACGGCTGCTTTGCTGGGTTCATGCAGGCATTACTTGCCCTCTGGACTGTTGCAGTGGCCCTTGACTGCCTTCCCACTTTCTTTCCCTCCCGACACTGCTCCACCACAGGCATCCTCCACACAGCATCCAGAGTAAGCAACTAGAGTTCCATCATGCCACTAGGCTTAACCTCTGCAATCTCTTCCTGTCTCAACACAGGAAATGCCAGAGCCTGTTCAGGCATCTCAGGCTTGTTCTCCTACATTCTCTTTCCTTCCCTCAACTCAGCCACACTGGTTTCTTGATGTTCTCAATGATGGCAAAAATTGGTCACTTCAGGGCCTTTTCCAGGACTGGTCTCTCAGCCAAGAATGTTCTTCTTCCAGATTTTCCTGTGGCTCATTCCTTTGTTTCTTCACATCCTTTTGCTTCTCCTTAAAAGCATCATATTCTCATCCCCTGACACGAGGATAACTATGCCTCTTTACTGTGGTTGCAGTGATTTAAAAGAACACGCAAGAGAGCCTGTCGCTGTGTCTAACCTGTCATATATGCTCAATGAGTGGTGTCTGTCAGTGTTCTTAAAAAGTTATTTTTAGTGTAACAACTATCTTTTCCCTTCATTTTATGATTTTTGTTTTAATTCTTGATGACCTTTAACTTGCATTGATAGCTTCCTCAATCACTTTTTAAAGGCAAGAGTAGCAATTATCAATGAAAAAACTAGGATAAATAAGGATTCTGAAATATACTCATCATAGGACAAAGTATGCTGATAACCAGGACTCAGAGTTTGAGACTTTATGCACATTTCCCAAAATAAACTTCCTTAAAGAATGATTGCTTCTAACTTGTAAGTTTTCAGACCCTGGAACTCATCCAAAGTCCTAAGTAGTAAATGTGGGAAAACATCCATTGAGTTTTCCTCTCGTAGCTAAACATATCTCCTGTATTCCATGGAGAACTATCTTAACTTTTTTATCAATTAAAGAAAATGATTTGTGAGTAAAAACTTTTGATGGCATATATGTTGCAACAGTGAAGCAACTTAAAATCATAAAGCACTTATAATCAAATATCACTAAGTGGAACCACTGTGTCCTCTGTAGATGCTCTGACATTTTAGGATAGGAAAACCTACCCAGTAAAACAAACTCTCCTTGGAAAACACATTCTGTTCTCCACTTATTTGAGTTCATTTACAAACATTTTTACCTTTTAATTTACCCAACATTGAGGTAAAGTAGATTTGGACTTGAGCACTTTAACTGGAGGACCAACAGCTGCATGGTTCCAGTGGCCAAGTGAGGCAGCCACGGGGCTCCTCCAGGGAACACCTCTGTGTTCTCAGCACAGACACAGGGGCTGGCAGATATTTTTGAAGACAGCCCAAAAGTCTCTTCCATCAGCCTTGTTTGGGTTCCATGAGATGATTTTTTACAGCTTTCAAAAGGCCAAATTACTAAAACCCTCCATTGTAAACATGGGCTCTAGTAAGAGTAAACCAGACCCACCTCCACCAGCTTTCAGCACAGCTCTAGAGCAAGGCCAAGAGAAGCATCTGCCGCAGCCAAGCCCACCTATGTACTAAGCCATGCAGCCACCCACTGCCTCACCCACCTATGTGCTGAGCCACGCAGACGCCCACTGCCTTATCTTAAGTCCTAGGGTGGAAGGTTCTAATCACAGCCAGCCCTTCACCATTCTCAACAGACTTTAATGACCCACAGGAAGCTCCATGATCAAGTCTTCTTCTGCCCTCTTTCTCTAACTGCAAAAAGACTGCATAAGATCAGAAGCATGACAGAAAACATCCACAGGGGCATTTCTGATGTTTTTCTGCGCATGGTTTCTGGTGGTCTGCATTGGATAATCTTAAAGGTTTCAGTAGACATCTAAAAATATGAAAGCATCCTGTGGAGGAATTCCAGAGGCTTGCATTTCTTTTCCCGCATTCTTCTGTAGAGATTCCTTCCACGTTTGCTGTGTTTGTGTGTGTGTTTGGATGTATGGCAGGGAAACTTCAAGCTTCTTTGAATTATTTTGCGTTTCCTGCCCTGATAGAGCTGCTACAGGGAACGCTGGGCAGCCATTCACATTCGCGATGTGCTCCAGTGCTCTTCAAAGCATAGTGGAAAACAAAACGGGAAAACCTTCCATTCATGTTTTATTATCACCATGTCTGAATTTCTAAAAGCTGAGGTGTTGTCTTTTATCATGCCTTCTATGAAACACACAACATATGGATCTGTTCATGAGATGTAAAATTTGACAATACAATTTCTTAGCTTTTTATAGAAACCTGACTGTAAAGAAACCATTTTTGGCCGGGCACAGTGGCTTACCCCTGTAATCCCAGCACTTTGGGAGGCCAAGGTGGGCAGATCACTTGATGTCAGAAGTTCAAGACCAGCCTGGCCAGCATGGCGAAACCCCATCTCTACTAAAAATACAAAAATTAGCTGAGCATGATGGTGCATGCCTGTAATCCCAGCTACTTGGGAGGCTGAGGCAAGAGAATTGCTTGCACCCAGGAGGTGGAGGTTGCAGTGAGATGAGATCGTGCCACTGCACTCCAGCCTAGGTGACAGAGTGAGACTCCACCTCCAAAAAAAAAAAAAAAAGACACCATTTTTGGAGTTTTAATTTTATATTTTAAAACTTTGTCAAAGTTTTCAATTGTTTATCATTTTTGAAAGGATTTTCAGCTGGATGCAGTGGCTCACGCCTGTAATCTCGGCACTTTGGGAAGCCAAGGTGGGCAGATCACTTGAGCTCAGGAGTTCAAGACCAGCCTGGCCAACATGGTGAAACTCCAACTCTGTCAAAAATACAAAAATTATCTGGGTGTGGTGGCACATGCCTGTAATCCCAGCTACTTGGGAGGCTGAGACAGGAAAATGTCTTGAACATGAAAGGTGGAGGTTGTAGCGAGCTGAGGTTGCACCACCGCACTCCAGTCTGGGTGACAGAGTGAGACTCTGTCTCAAAAAAAAAAAAAAAAGTTGTGTTTTTTTTTCCCCAATCATCCCACCCTCCACCATGACCAACCCAAAAAATCAGGAATATTTGGAAAATAAACAGGCATTCAACTGATGCAGGACAGGCCAGCCCCAAAGCTGGGGCTTAGCCCAGGAGGGTTCTGGGCTTAGCCCACGAAAGGGAGGCAGAAAGAGAAATAGAAATGGAATCTCTCCCATTTCCCCTGTGCCATTTGAAACTGCCCAAGGGGATAAGTCATCAAATATTCTTGGCAATGACAGATATGGTTGAAATAAAGTTGTAGAAAGAAGAACAGTTTCATCTTAGCATCGAGAATACTGATCATAATTCACAATGCAGTTGCCCCTCCATCACAGGAATGCTCTTTCTGGGATGTGAACTTGGTCTACTCTTGGCTTCTCTCTGCATCCCTGGGCATGTTCTCGGGCACTGACCCTTAGGCTTGCACTGACTCACATCGTGCGGTGAAATCTTCTCCAACACTGCATCTGGAAGCATGGGTCTGCCCCAGCAGAGACCAGTGGGTGACCGATACTGACCCATCACTGACAGATTATTTCATTTGCTTTACCAAAAGCCTTTTTGTTTTACCTCTAGCTCTTTCTAGATGACCTATTAAGTAATAATTGTACCTTTGTAGCTCCCCAGACATGCTTTGTTCTTATCACAAAGACCACATAAAAATATGTAGGTTAGAAAGATTCCTTTGTCCTATTGAATGTCAGATTTAACTCCTTTATTAGAACCATAGCTTTTACTTCTTTAAGCTTTTATTTAAGCTTGCTTGAGTTAGATTTCTATTACTTACCACCGAAAAAAAGGTGTGATTATATATCTTACCTTACCTGATGTTTCCTCTCTTTGAATCCCTTTAACATTCTAATGGATTGGGCCCCTGACTGATTCACGTGAGAAATTATGCAAGGATATAGAGTCATTATAACAACCTTTCCCAGAATTTTTTTTTGGTAAATAATGTATGGTGTTTATTGCAGCCCCTTCTTTCTTTTCTTTAAATATGATAGTGAAAGACTCTAGAGGAAACATATCCACTTCCTAAAGGTAGGACAATGGGCTGAACAGCTTAAGTGTCACAGTCGTTCTTTAAATCTTGGTGTTCTGAAGATTTTTAAAGGCCCATTTAAACCCTCCCATTGAGTACCTAAAATGGCGAGAGTTCTATGTTGTCTGTACGACATCCATTTATTGTCAGTATCTGTTTAGTCTATACAGTTTTCTGATAGTGCTTTGGGAAACCATGTAATATCATGTATGACACGATGCAACATAAACATTCTTCCTAGGGCCTTTTATGCTCATGAATCATGGTGCTTTGCTGAGGAATGGAGGGAAGAACATATTGAGAGGGACTGGAGCTTTTGCTTCTATGTGTGCATTCATCTATCATTCCTCTATCTATCATTTTCCTTCCTTCCTTGAAGATATTGAGCATTCACCAAGAATCCAGAGAGAAGCTTAGTCAGAAGGAATAAAAAACACCACTGGGAGGTGGCACTCCAAATTATTTCCCAAATGCAATCTAACAGGAAGTGGAATAATTCCCATAAATGGAGTTGAGATCCAGTGTTTTCTAAAGGTCTGGTGAGGACAAGCCTGGTTACTCAGCAGGCAACAGAGGCATCACTTGAGGCCATTGCAGCCCAGCTTTGGAAGCCTGGATGAATGTGTCAGTCCAGAAGCTGCCGCCAGAAGTCACACCCAGAGGGGCAGCTTAGAACAACACATGGCAAGAAAAGCTGCTTTTAAAAACTGGAGGCATGGATGACTTCTATAGGCCTCTGCTGAGAGCAAATGCCTTATCAGGTTGGGGAGAGATGCTTAGAGAAAGATAGTGCAGTAAAAAGTCAATATTAAATTGTTTTTCTCTGAAGTGTCCAATTAGATGACTTTGAACAATTGTATATATTCATGTTAGCAAAGCCCAGAATGAGATAAGGGACTTTTTCATTTTCTTAGAAAGTTCCTTCATGGACTCTTCAAACACTGCCTGTGCCTGCATTTGTATTTCATATCAACAGAATCACACCATGTGCACTTTACGTATGACTCCTTTGATTTAACATAGTGAGCTTGAGATTCATCAGGGTGGCTGCCTGTGCATGTGGCTTGTCTTCACTGCTGGCTTGTTCCGGTGAGTGTTTGTCCCAGTTTGCTGATCTCATGACCACTTAGTGCACATGGGGTTGTTTCAGGTTGGGGATATAAGGCACAGGCTTAGGGTGGAGCTTCGTCTCACCCTTTGGATACTCAGGGCTGTGATTGCTCCCTGTGGAGGTGCTTGGCCCAGTCTATGGGTAGGTAAGAAAATTGTAAGCTGCACCCAAAAGGATAGGATGTTTCAGGTGCAGACAGGGTGGGAAAGAAATGCTCCCGGCAGAGGCACACCAGTGTTCCCAGTGCTGAAGCTGGCAAGTCAAGGCACATTCCAGAAACCCAGACAGTGAGCAAGGCCAGAGCTGAGTGTGCAGAGGGGAACGCATGAAGATACAGATAGAGAGGTAAAAAGGAACCAGGCCATGGAGAGCCAGGCGCCCGGAGGCAAGGGAAGGCATTTGAACTTGATTCCCAGGGCAATGACAAGCAACTGAAGTGTTTTAAGTGAGGAAATTATTTGATTCGATTTTCCATTATAGAAAGCTAACAGTTAGGTTACTTTCTGTTTATTTTCTTGTGGTTTTCTCTGGGTATATAGTAAGACTGTTTCACTTTCCTGTTGTTATACATTAAATTTTGTCCCCCTGCCCCCGCAAAAAAAAAACATATATTGGAGTCCTAACCCCCAATACCTCAGAATGTGATTTTATTTGGAGATTGGGTCTTCACAGAGGTAATCAAATTAAAAGAGGTCAGGATGCTTGAGCCGGGGAGGCAGAGGTTGCAGTGAGCTGATAATGTACCACTGCACTCCAGCCTGGGCAGCAGAGCAAGAACCTGTTGCAAATAAAATGAAATAAAGAGGTCGTGAAGGTGAGCCCTAATCCAATATGACTGACGTCCTTAGAAAAAGGGCAAATTCAGACACAGAGACAGACATGCACACACCCACAGGGAACAGGCAGAGTTCAGAGTGATGCTTCCCCAGGCCAAGGAATGAAACAGATCATCAACAAACCATGAGAAGCCAGGAGAGAGCTATGAACAGATTCTCCTGCACACCCTCGGGAAGAGCCAACCCTGCTGACACCTTGATCTTGGACTTCCAGCCTCCGGAACTGTGAGACAATAAACTTCGGTTCTTCTAAGACATTCAGTTTGTGGTACTACATGAAAGCAGCCCCAGAAAACTAAGACACCCGCCCCTCCTTTCCCTTCCGTTCCTTTTAGTTAGGATGACCTAAGAAGAAAATGCTCTCACAAATACAAGTTCTCTGAAAGGATGATCTTTACTGGCAGTCATTTCTTGAGATCCCTGTGAGTTATTGAGATAACACTAGTTCCTTGGAGATTTTGTGTGTTGAACACATACCTGTTTATACCATTAGGTGTTGAACGGCATTGGGGTTCAAACTTTGGATGGACTCTTTCAGAGACATGAATTTGTTTAGTGCTTAGATATAGTGAGAGCTTTTCCAGAAGATGCAGGCATAGGAAACACAGACCTGAAAGGGATGTGACAGTCCTGACTCTTATGTATTTATTTATTTATTTATTTTGAGATGGAGTCTCCCTCTGTCACCCAGTCTGGAGTGCAGTGGCATGATCTCAGCTCACTGCAACCTCCTCCTCCTGGGTTCAAGTGATTCTCCTGCCTCAGCCTCCTGAGTAGCTGGGATTAGAGGCACTTGCCATCAAACCCAGATAATTTTTGTATTTTTGGTAGAGACAGGGTTTCATCATATTGGCCAGGCTGGTCTCGAACTCCTGACCCCAAGTGATCTGACGCCTTGGCCTCCCAGAATGCTGGGATTACAGACATGAGCCACCACACCCTGCCGACAGTCCTTACTCTTAATCCAGATAAGTCTGAGGCTCAACTCCCACCTTCAAGCGTCTTAACCATTGACTCTCCATCCTGAAGAATTCTTCAAAAGAAGCTGAAACCTCCCTGAGAAGTTCAATTTTATTTTCAGAGAATACTGGCCATTATAGAAGGTCCTTCCTTGTATTAGCCAGAAAATCTATTTGTGCACAGCCTGAGCTATTCCTCCCAGTTCTGTTTTGTGGCCCCAGAACAAGCAGGGTTCATCGTTGTCATGGCAAATTGCTGGCTATCTGAAGTTAGGTATCAGGTGCCTCTAAACTTCTCTTTCTGAGATCAAAGACTTAGACTTTCTTTAGTCATCTTGTGCCATACACTCCCTTGTCCTCTCTTTAGTTCTGTTTTTCTCTGAACAGGTCCCAGAGCCAGGGTTCTGATTCGATTGTCTGCTCAGAAATGAACATGATCTTTGGTTGGCTGTCTGAGTGGCACTCAGTGGCCCAGACATCTCCTGTCTTGTTCTGCTTCCATATTTCCATTAATCTAACTCTGGCTTATATCGAGTGTTTTGGTGTACGTATCTCAAAGCTGACTTAAACTGAATTTGGAATGATTGCAGTCTAACCCAGACAGATACGACTGTTAAAACTACTGAACAGAGGCACTCTGGCTGGAGTCCGAGAGGCAAGCCTCATGGCACAGGCGGCAATGCCAGCTGCTTGCATGCGACAATAGCAACTTCCTCACTTAATCCTCAGCCTCCAAGCTCTATTCCTACCTAACGGCCCAAACAGGCTGGGAGAGGGTGGTCAGATAGAACTTTCTGCGTGAATGGAAATTTTCCCTATCTGTGCTTTCCCATATGGGAGCCACTTGCCACATATGTCTCTGGGACACTAGAAATGAGAAAAATGTGACCGAGACAGTAAAACTTTAAAATCTTTAAAAAATTGTTTTCAATAGCCATCGGTGGTTAGTTGTTAGTGTGTTGGGCAGCGCAGGTATATAAAGCCACTCCATCACCAAAACAGAAGTAGGGGTGGTAGGAATGTTGGAGAAAGACGGGGGGAGAGAGAGAGAGGAAGAGAGAGAGAGAGAGACAGACAGACAATAAGAGAAAAAGAGAAAGAAAAATCAAGTGTTTCTGAGATAATCGGTTGCAGGGCAACTTGTAGAACAAACATTGGAAGAGAAAGAATCTTTCACTCTCCAGTATTATACAGATCTTACTGGCAAATTAGGAAAAGCATCCATGTAAATATTCAAGTAGAATTGGTAAGAAAAATGAGCTCCTGGCCAGGCACAGTGGCTCTTGCCTGTAACCCCGGTATTTTCGGAGGCCATGGCAAGTGGATCACTTGAGGTCAGGAGTTTGAGACCAGCCTGGCTAACATGATGAAATCCCATCCCTACTAAAAATTAAAAAAAAAAAATTAGCTGGCGTGATTGTGCATGCCTGTACTTCCAGCTACTCAGAAGGCTCAGGTGGGAGAATCGCCTGAACCTGGAAGGTGGAGGTTGCAGTGAGCCGAGATTGTACTACTGCACCCCAGCCTGGGCAACAGAGCAAGACTCTGTCTCAAAAAAGAAGGAAAGAAAAAGAGAGAGAGAAAGAGAGAGAGAAAGAAAGAGAGAAACAGAGAAATAGAAAGAAAGAAAAAAGAGAGCAAGAAAGAAATAGAGAAATAGAAAGAGAGAGAAGAAAGAAAGAAAGAAAAAGAAAGAAAAAAAGAAAGAAAGAAAGAAAGAAAGAAAGAAAGAAAGAAAGAAAGAAAGAAAGAAAGAAAGAAAGAGAAAGAAAGAGGAAAAGGAAAGGAAAGGTGGGGGGAGGGGAGGGGAGGGGACAGAAGGGAAGGGAAGGGAAGGGACTCCTAAAATGAGAAAGAAGCTGGAGCTCCCTTCTGATTAAAACACCTGCCCCAGGGCAGAAGCTGTGGCCACCTTGATGCAGGCTGCACCCAGCAAAAGACACCCAGGGGCCTGGAGACAGAGCTGAGCAGTTGGAGGCTTTTGGAGGAACAGGCAGGTGTGTTCCCCTTCCTTGACCTATTTAGGAGACTCCCCTTCCTCTAATGAGGAGAAGGACTAAGGGGAAAGTGTATCTAGGCAGGACTCACTATTTGCCTGGCACTGGGCTGGCTGCTTACAAAGATTCTTCATTTCTATCCTGGAGTAATCGATTATCCCCAATTCACAGATATTGGAATTATTTATCCAAAAGATGAAGAAACAGTGATAACACAACAATAATAATAATTAACATTTAACTATAATTGAATGTATATTATGTGACACACACTAAACACTTCACACCCATATTTATTTTTCACAGAGATATTTTCATTAAGCAGTATTATAATTTTACAGATGAGAATAAGTGGAAACTAATTGTCTCATGGCATGTACATATTACATAGCAGAACCTCAATTTTAACTCAGATTTATTTAACTCTAAACTTAAATTGCATATACGTGTGTGTGTATATATATATATATATATATATATATATATATATATATACGATGCTATCTATAATGTCCATAATATCGGCCTTAATATATCATATATTACATGTATGCATAGAACCACATGTGTATGTATAAATATATACATTTACATATATATTATATGTCTTTAACTGGGGAAAGTTTTTTGGTTGGCAATAATGTTTTCTAAAAGAGAAGCCATCTTTCTGTATAAAAATGTGATGATCAGTAAAATCATGTCCGAGACCTTGAACAGGGTCTGAGCACAGCTGTAGAAAGTGTATTATGTACGTGTACGTGCAGTACTGTACCACATAGCACAGTTTGAGTCCAAGAGGGACGGCATATACAAGAGTGGTTCCATATGATTCTAATACTGTATTTTTACTGTACCTTTTCTATGTCTAGATATGTTTAGACACACACATCCTCACCATTGAGTGACAGTTGCCTGCTGTATTCACTACAGTTGCATGCTGTGCAGGTTTGTAGCCAGGGACAAGAGCCCAGGTAAGGCTGTTGTAGGCTCCTTCTATGGTGTTCCCACAGCAATGAAATCACCTAATGACACATTTTGCAGAACTCATCTCTCCTATCTCTGTTGTCAAGCAATGCATGATGGTATATATTTTTTTCGTTCAGAAATTGGTCGCTAATTAACACATTTTTTTTTTCTTACCAAACTTGAACTCCATAAGATAAAATAGAAAGATGTTTTTCACTTGGTCAGCATCCATTCTTCCATGTTTAACTCTTTTTTTTTTTTTCTTTTGAGATGGAGTCTCACTCTATCACTCAGGCTGTTTAGTGGTGCGATATCGGCTCACTGCAACCTCTGCTTCCTAGATTCAAGTGATTCTCCTGCCTCAGCCTCCCAAGTAGCTGGGATTACAGGGGCCCACCACCATGCCTGGTTAATTTTTAGTAGAGACGAGGTTTTACCATGTTGGCCAGGCTGGTCCCGATCTCCAATGTTTAACTTCTTATTCAGTCTTTGAACTTCCTCTCCAGACAATGGCTATAGCTGACAGTCATCCAGTATGTCACTGCTGGAGTACCGGAATATCAGTGGATGTTCTTGTTTTGCTACTTTAAGTGAGGTCTTAAATACCAAGCCTCAGAATCAGAGATGAAGGAAATTTTAGAGACTCGACCTAATTCCATAATTTAGAGACGAGGAGGCTGAAGTCCTTTAGTGTGAAATGATTTACTAGACCTCAATAGCTCATATGGTGAGGGTAGGATTTTATGATATAATTAATTTTCTAGCTGTTGGTGCAGATTCTTATATAATTTATGGTTGATTTTCATTTCCTGGTACAATTTTATTTTCTTCCTCTGTACAAAAAAAATTTAAAGAAAAATACTTTGTGGATAATAATAATACAATTTTTGTAAAAACAGGAAACTTAAATGTGACACTCTTTGCAAGGATGGAGTAAACAGGAAGTGAATAAAGTGAGTTGCAATTTGAATTACAAAAATCTCTCATCTTTGGTCACTAATGTACAGTTCAGAGCCAACATTCTTCGCTACCAATGAAAAGCTGTAATAATCATGGTGAACATAGCCTCTGTGATTTGTTGAGCACTTATTCTGTGAACATCTGTGCATCTGTTTGCTAGGCTGTTGTAACAAGGCACCAGAGATTGGGCGACTGAAACAACAGAAATCTATTTCCTGACAATGCTAGAAGCTGGAAGTCTGAGATCGAGGTGTCGGCAGGGTTGTGTCCTCCTGAGGCCTCTCTCCTTGGCTTACAGACAGCCATACTCTCCCTATATCTTCGGGTCATCTTCCCTCCACGTGTGTCTGATATCCTGATCTCTTCTTCTTACTAGGATACCAGCCATGTTGCATTAAGGCCCACCCCATCGCCCTGATTTTACCTTAATTACCTCTTTAAAGACGGTATCTCCAAATACAGTCACTTTGTGAGGTCCTGATGACCTCCTTCAACCCAGGAATTTGGGGAGGACACAGTTCAACCCATAATAGGCTATATATATCTAGCATGTATAATTTTTATGATAGAGCAGGGAGAAATGTAATGTCCTCATTTTACAGAAATATGAATTCAGAGAGATTAGTGACATGCTCAAGAGCAAACATTCTTTTGAATGAAGTGAGGTTTATGTATTATATTGTCACCCTTAGGTTTCCAAATCCTTACTTTTTCCACTATATCTGCAACACCACCTTTCTGACTGGAAAGAAAAGAGGCAGGGATTATATCACAGTGGCTTAGGCCTGTAATCCCAGAACTAGGAGGCTGAGATGGGTGGATCACCTGAGGCCAGGAGTTCGAGACCAGCCTGACCAACATAGTGAAACCCTGTCTCTACTAAAAACACAAAATTAGCCAGGTATGCATGCCTGTAATCCCAGCTACTTGGGAGGCTGAGGTAGGAGGATCACTTGAACCCGGGAGGCGGAGGTTGCAGTGAGCCGAGATTGCACCACTGCACTCCAGCCTGGGCAACAAGAGTGAAACTCCATCTGAAAAAGAAGAAAAAAAAAAAGGAGTGCTCTCAGTGGACTTTATCTGATCCTTTTAAGTGAGAACCATCATTTAAGGGATGTTCCCATACTCCCCACAACCTCAGGAGCAGATACCCCTCTAGTTAGAAGTAGAACTCTGGAAACTTTGTATGTATTTTAGTTTTCCAAATACATGTGTTTGGAGTTAGTAGTAAACCCTTGCAGTGTGTGTGGTGAGTGTGTTTGTGTTGGTGGGTGTATAGTGTTGTCTGTGTGAGTCTCCCTGCAAATCAGTGGCTGTGTGGATAAGTCAAAGCGGTCTCCTCCCTCATGCCGTGGGAGAGGCAACTAATGACCTCATGACGACTTCCAATCCTGTTTTGTGTCAAAGCCTTTAGGATCTAGCCAGTGACTGCTACATAGAAGGCAGTCTAGAGATTTGGCCAGAATCGCAGCAAAACCCAGGCCAAGAGTGTGGAGAGGGAGCAAGCCCACTCGAGCTGTGGCCCTGCCTTGCTTATGAAGTGACCTCAGATCACTGCTGCTCTCTGGTCCTCCACTTCCTAATGTGTAATTAAGGAAGTCACACAGTGCAACCTCTATCTTTAAGATCTAAAAAATTTGAGTTTTCTTGTGATGAACAGCATTCCAATCCCACTTACACAGAAAAAAAAAAAAAAAGCTCTGGCTTTAAAAATAAAACATCCAAAAAATTAAGACTAGAAAGATGATATTTAAGAGTAGTATTTTATTACTTTGAAAACATCTGGTATGAATTTGAAATTTCATTTTAAAATTTTTAATAGATTCCTCATTCTGTTTCTAGAAAATAGGTTAAAGTGAGTTGTTATGAAACCATGTTTCTAATTTTTATTTCAGATTCTATATTTCAACTAAAGCTCGCACTTGGGTGAAATCTTTCAACATATCTTTTGTTTAAGAAAAGTCAGAACAAGAATTTCCAAGGTACTGCTTATTTATTATAGAAAACTTAGAAAATATAGAGAAATGTACAGAAGAAAACAAATTCTCTCAAAATCTCAATTCATAGAGATACATACAAGGCATTTTTTAATGTATGTAATTTGTAATTTGTGTGTGTATGTGTGTAACAGGGTCTCATTCTGTCCCCCAAGCTGTAGTGCGGTGACGTGATCACGACTCACTGCAGCCTTGACCTCCTGGGCTTAGGTGATCCTCCCATCTCAGCCTCCTGAATAGCTGCAACTACAGGCATGAGCCACCATGCCAGGTTAATTTTGTATTTTTTGTAGAGATGGGGTTTCGTTATGTTGTCCACGCTGGTCTCGAACTCCTGGGCTCAAGTCATCCATCCACCTTGGCCTCCCAAGTTACAGGGATTACAGGCATGAGCCTCTGTGCCTAGCCATGATGTATGTAATTTGTAAGGTGAGATAACTGTCTTGTTGTTTTGCTTTGTCATCTATGTTTATATTGTTCTCTGTAAATCCTCCACTGGAAAAGTTTTTCCATCCAGACCTGAGTCTCATGAGCTACGGCTAAGATGTAATCACTCCCAAAGAAACATGCACTCTCAACAACATTTTTGACATACTTGATTGTTTACCATTGCTTTGCATGGAGGGGAATGAAATGGACCTTTTAGAATCAACTTGCCCAACAGTGGATCTAGGCCAGGCTGAGAAGAGGGTGCCAAGGCTGACATTTGAGTCTAGACAATGATGTCTCTCAAAATGCATTTTGCCCTGTGATTTTCCCCCAGCTCCTTAGTTTTCTAGCATAATTGATGGCCTTTGTGGGCCATAATCCAAAACCACTACACACAGGAAAAGGGCTGTCAAGCAGCAATAGTATAATAATTCATGCGTTATTATTACCATTTAGAGAAAACACCTATGCAGAATTGCAAGTTGTGATGGGCCCTTGAAAATCAACGTGTGTGCCGAATCCAGGTGGATGCTGTGACCTCACAAAAGCTGTGAAGGTGTGCTATCGCAGAGTGGAGGTGTGGCAAAGTCCAGATTCAAGAAAAGGCTGAAGTCAGCTTGTGTCCCTGACCTGGGATCTCAGCCTTAATCTCATGTTTAGAAGTGAGGCCAGTGCCATTGGCCATTGACATCCAGAAGATAAACTCTCATGGAATGACAGCTGACAAACAGCAGATGCCTTCAGACTGGCAGATTCTTCTATCTTGTGTTAATGCATCTTTATGGGAATTCACAATGTTCTCTAGGCAGGGGTCCAAGTGATAAGCACCAGAGCTTTGAAATAAGATAGTAGAAAGCGGGGTAGGCTGTGCTTTTGAAGTGCATTTTCCTGGCAAACGGAAGATGGCCCTCCTCATTCTGCCAAAGGGAATTCTAAGAGCCAAGATTGCATAAGAGGATTGCATTTTGGATGTTTTTAGGATGTGAGCTGAGGTAGGCTTAGCTCTGGCTCAAGGATTTCAAAGTAACTGACTTGTTTTGTGTACTTTCAGCTCTCTGCAACTCTTGCTGAATTTTGGCATCTTTAGCAGAGCAGGAGCAATCAGCATTGATAAACAGATTTCCTCTTGTATGGGTGCCTTGCCAGTGCAGGGATGTGCAGTGATCTTTCACCCTCTCAGCTTTCCTCTCGATACTGCATTCATCATTTCAAGAGCTTTCAGGAATGTGGGCCGTGCTGACATTTTGTAATGTCTATCAGGAATTGAGATTTTAGGGTAACAACATAAAATGTTCCTAAGGTGAAGGTTTTGTTGTTGTTTTTGTTGTTAATTGCCTACATTATGACAGTTTTGTACTTAATTATCACCACATATCTAGCTGCTTGAAAACTGTTTCTTTTTTAAAAATACAAAGCAATAAAAATATAAACTTAAATTTCTTTAGCTTTAATATATCTTGGTTCACCTCCTCTAATTAATTTGCCATTCAGCTCATTTCATTAATGTATAATAAAATAACAATTTGACATTTGGATAAGTTAGTGAATTTGGGGCTTATGCTTTTCAAAGCTGATACTTGTTTTCTCTTAGGTTTTTATTATTGTATTAGAGCCATATAATAAAGGAAGAAAAAAAAAATAAAAAAATCCATGGGATTAAAGAAGAAATTATGTTGATTAAAATGTGTCATTTGAGCCAGATGTTCTAGAAGGAACTGCATGGGATGTGTCTTTAGAAATGCTCTGTGTCCTCCACTGTGAGAGCAGAAGACGTCTCTGCATAGTCCTCTGTTCAAAACCCAAACTATAGATTGACCAGTACTCTCACATTAAAAAGCAGGGTTTGAAGGATACATTTACCCTCAAAAGGTAACTCGGCACTCAAAATTTATAGATCAGTCTTACCCATGACATAAATCCATGGAGGAATAAAACTTAATTTGTAACTTAGGGGATGCAACATTCAGGTTAAATGTGATAAAAATATGTGATGATGGACTCCCTACAAAGGAACCGGTGAGAAGGTACCCTAGCTACTGAGAAGCATTTTGTGACTAAAGGACCTTATGGGTTATTGATGATTATTTACATTCTACCAGAACTGTTAAAGCCCTGAAAATTACCTTTACACTTTTTTTTTTCTTTTAAGACGAAACCTTGCTGTGTCACCCAGGATGGAGTGCAGTGGCACTATCTCAGCTCACTGCAACCTCTGCCTCCTGATTCAAGCAATTTTCCTGCCTCAAGCAACTCTACTGCCTCTCCAGTAGCTATAATCCCAGCTACTCCTGTAATCCCAAGTAGCTGGGATTACAGGTGCCCGCCACCCGCCATGCCCAGCTAACTTTCTTTTCTTTTTCTTTTTTTTTTTTTTAAGTAGAGACAGGGTTTCTCCATGTGGGCCAGGCTGGTCTCGAAATCCTGGCCTCAAGTGATCTGCCCTTCCTCGGCCTCCCAACATGCTGGGATTACAGGTATGATCCACCATGCCTGGCCTCTTTACACTTATTTTTAATTATAATTACACTAAGAAATCACCATGACTCCCACTTATTAAGCTATTTTTATAAGCCATATAGTGTGTTAAACACTTTACATGTGTTCTTACTTAACTGTTGCCCCAACTCCATGGAGTCGATATTAGTTACCGCATTTCAGTATTATAAACACTGAAACTGAGTTTCGGAGGGAGTAAATAACTTCCCCTTCCGTGTGCAATCAGAGGTAGTGCTAGGATTTGATTGAGCCTTATGGCAATCGAAAGCCCATGTTTCTACCTTTCCTAGGCTCTGCCTCCTCTGTCGAAAATTCAAGGCAGGCGGAATGCAGTGCTGCCCCTGACACACACCACAGTAGCGACTCCAGTCTTCATCTGAGATGATGGCACAGGTGACGTCTTACTTGGGATTTTGAATTTTATGCACTATAATGCCTGCACATGATAGAAATAATTGGCATGTTGCAATATTCCCTGAAGGACTGTGGTCCCTTGTCTTCCCCCTATATATAGATCAGGGTCCTTAACAATGCCACTGCATTAGATTTAATTATAATCCAGATATCTATGGACATAAGAAAGATAGTTGTTCATTCACTTTAACCTGCACTAAAGCAATGTTTGTAAATCAAACGATGTCTGGAACCAGACAATTCAGATTATTTGGTAAATATTTTGTATACATTGAATTGAGGGATCTGCAAAAAGAAGGAAGAGGTGACACTTGGACCCCTTCTAACTAATTACATGACAGAATTCATCCATCACATTTCAAAAGCAATACAGAGAAAAGTGCATGATTTACAGCCAGAAAATGACGCATGCCTGGGTTGCAAGAAGCCACAGAGGAAGGGGACAGAATGTGAAGGGAGGGTCTGAGGCCAGAGGAAAGGGATATCACTGACAATGGAATCATTTGGATGGATGACAGGGAGAAAAATGTCATTTTTAACAAAACTGTTCATTTCTCCTTATATCACTTCCTTTCACCCGAGTTTCCCAACATAGAGAGTGATTCCATCCGATTGCCAAGTCCCAGTCAAGACATTTCAATGGTTTTGAAAATTCATTCTCCTTCTTGACTCTTATCCAACCTGGCCACTTTCCCATTTCCAAGCGTGTGAAAGACGTGTCCCCTTCAGCTTGGTGCGGACATAATATTTGCTTTTCTCCAGACCCTCCCAGCAGACCCACAAACCTTCTCCTTCCTAGGAGGCTCCAGGTCGTTATTGTTCAAGCTTTCGTCACTCCCATTCATGAAGCTAAACAATCCCAGCCCCATTCATAAGGCTTCCCAGGAGTTTCTATTTTTACTGCCGCAATTCTCTACATTCTTTCTCACAACCGTGCAAGTCTGTCCCAGGCAACCTCTTTTCTCTCCTGTCCTTGCCCTCCTCCTCCTGTAATCATCCCGTCCCTCTTCTGCCTCCCCCGCTCCCTCATCTCATTCCTTTACTCCTTGTTGGAGCATCGGAGGAACCCCAGCACTACTCCCCTTCCCTAAGCTCACAACGTCTTCTTCTTCTACTCTTATCTCATTTCTCAAACTGCTTTTGTTTCTCAACCAAGATACTCTAGATCATTTAGTAGTGGTGGGTCCATTTCCTTACCTTTTCTGTTTTTTTAATCCAACTAAGTTTGCCAGTCTATGGCTCCCTCTTAGGCATCCCATCATTAAACTCACCAACTCCCTCTCTCAGTGAGTCAAAAATGCATTCAATATCCCTAACTCATCAAGTTGCGTAGATCAGCCTAGCCTAACTTAGATGTGCTCGGGACGCTTACCTTAGCCTACAGGTGAGTAAAATCACCTAATACAAATCCTATTTTATATAAAAACAGGGTTGAATATTTTACGTAGTTTATTGAATGCTGTGCTGATGGTGAAGAACAGAGTGGTTGCATAGGTGTAATCATAAAGTCAAAACATTGTAACTTGAACTGTCACAAGTCAGAAACTGCAACTTTACCATAGTATGCATACAACGCACATAACCATGACCATGCCGACTTTTCTTTCTTTTTTTTTTTTTTTTTTGCAGACAGTGTTTCACTCTTGTTGCCAAGGCTGGAGTGCAGTGGCGCCATCTCATCTCCCTTGCAATCTCTGTCTCCTGGGTTCAAGTGATTCTCCTGCCTCAGCCACCCTAGTAGCTGGGATTACAGGCACCCGCCACCACGCCTGGCTAATTTTTTTTTTCAGTAGAGGTGGGATTTTGGGGTTTCGCCATGTTGTCCAGGCTGGTCTCAAATGCCTGGCCTCAGACATACACCCACCTTGGCCTCCCAAAGTGCTGGGATTACAGAGACCATGATGTTTTTTACTTTCAGCACAGTATTCAATAGATTACATAAAATATTTAACACTTGCTTGTGCTGAATGATTTTGACTAACTGTAGGCTAATCGAAGCGTTTTGAGCATGTTTAAGGTAGGCAAAGCTAAGCTATGATGTTTAGTAGATGAGGTATATCAAATGCATTTTCAACCTAAAATATTTTCAACTAACAATGGATTTATTGTGATGTAACTTTACTGTAAGTTGAGAAGCATATGTACGTGTGTATACAGATACCTATATAGAGAGATATCTATAGATATAAATATATAGACAGATTGATGATAGATAGGTCAATAGAGCAAATCTTGCTTTAGGAAAATCTGAAACATCTTAATATCCCTTGGAAACAAGATGGTGTAGTAAGCTGTTCCGGCATCACTATAAAGAAATATCTGAGGCTGTGTAATTAGTAAGAAAAGAGGTTTAGTTGTCTCATGGTTCTGCTGGCTGTACAGGAAGCATAGGGCTGGCATCAGCTTCTGGGGAGGCCTCAGAAAGCTTCCAATCATGGGGTAAGAAAAAGGGGGAGCAGGTGTCTTACATGGCAGGAATGGGAGCTAGAGGGTAGGGGGAGGTGCCTCTGGATTTAAACAACCGGATCTCACAAGAAATCACTCACTGTTGCAAAAACAGCACCAAGGAGGGATGGTGATAAGCCAATCATAAGAAATCCACCTCCACGATCAGTCACCTCCCACTCATAAGAAATCCACCTCCATGATCAGTCACCTCCCACTCATAAGAAATCCACCTCCACGATCAGTCACCTCCCACTCATAAGAAATCCACCTCCACGATCAGTCACCTCCCACTCATAAGAAATCCACCTCCACGATCAGTCACCTCCCACTCATAAGAAATCCACCTCCATGATCAGTCACCTCCCACCAGGCCCCGCCTCCACGATCAGTCACCTCCCACCAGGCCCCGCCTCCAACACTGAGGATAACAGTTTAACATGAGATTTGGGGGAACGAATATCTAAACTATTTCAATTAATAATGGGCTAATAAAGCCAAGTCAACTCTTATGGGAACATCATCGGACGCTTGTCAAGATATTAGGGAAGAATGCTGAGAGAGGGGGTGGAGCGGGCACACGGAAAGAAACAGAGATGGGAGCACTCTCCACCCTCACAGCACCATGAGGGAAGTAGCCTTGACCTTGATATTCCCACAGGAACTCAGGGTGCTGAGCTTGTATTGCCGACATCATCATTTTTCTGAACAAGCCTGGGTAAGTCTCTACTGCCTGTAAACAAAAGAGGCGTGGCTAGAATGAAAATCATGCTAGGTGAAGAATCGTGATGCAAATTGGCTTTTATGTATTAGGCCAACTTTGTAAAAGATAAGCACACAAGAAAGAAAACTAGAAGCATGGCCAGAAAAGATAGCATCAGTTCCACTAGGGTGGGGGGAATAATGGGAGCTCTCCTCCAATCTTTTCCAAACTTTCTGTATATTAATTTAATAATGAAAATAGTTTTGAAAAGAAGGCACAGTATAAAATCTTGTGAAATCCAACAGTGGAAGTCATTTTCCAGATTGATATATTGTCTGTCATTTTATAGACCAATAAAATGAAGACATCCCCTAGTGCACTTGGATGTCTCTACAAGGCTTTTGGTGTTTGAATATTCAGGGGTACAGAAAAATGTAAGGTGTTAGCAAGCACTGCTCACCGATACTCAGACAGAAACACAAATAAATCATTCTGAAACGATGGCAAAGGGCAGGGTGTGTGACCTTATATTTAAAAAATCTTAATTAAAATAAGTAATATTTCTCTTAAACCAGTAGAAGCATATTTAGAGATTTGAGTGGGATCTGCGTCTTAGAACATCTGTATATGGTGACAAAATAAGAGTCAGTGAAAGAATCAGTTAATTGCTTTATTTGGATTTAATGGGTGTTTTGTTTTTCAGACTCTTTTTTTCTATCAATTAATTTATTGGTTAAGCATTTTATTAAAAGGTTAAAAGTAACTTAATAATTTGTGTTTGGCATTAATTAAAAGTATACTTGGGTCATGCAGCTAATAATCCCATGTATTAGCCTGGACGCACCAATAAGGACACACACATCCCCATTGCCTCCTCTCATTTTTCCGGAGAATGCTCTTCTTTCCTCTCCAGGTTCTACTCCCGCGAGACCCTCATGAAGTCCTGAGGTTGCCTCTCGTGCACGTTCACAGGGAGCTGGAAAGCAGACATACCCCATGAGGCTGGAGGACTTCATCAGTCCCAAGAAACACGTGAGGCCTCTCAGTAGGATGCTGCAGGGCAGAGACCTGGTTCTGTAGCTGACTCCAAGCCTGGCTAAGGAGCCTCTGGGCTGTGGATACACCACCTACAGCTGCTCATCAGGTGCAGGGCACCAGATTCCCAAATTCTGCTGAGGTTTTTACTCTGGTCTGTCACTGACACTGGTGCAGAACTGGTCCTGAACAAAGTCACTGTTTTACTTTGTCAAGGATATTTTCATGCCCGAAATGAGCTCAGGTGCACTTCAAATCTTCTCCCACAGCCACTGTCCCCAGGACACGGGGCTGGATACCCAGGTTGAGAGAGGCTCCAGCACGCCCACACCACGGACCCAAAGCCATCCTACTTCAACCTTCAGGCTTAGGGTGAGGCCCTACTCACTGGGTCCTGTTTCTTTCCACCCCAACTGTGACTCCATTTCAGATGCTTTTGCTCCACCTCGGCCTTTGTGTGAGCCAAATCTGTCCACCTCAGGGAGTTTCCTTAAGTCTGAATTCTCAAGGAAGCCTTTGGGATCTCGATCTTTTCTGCGCAAAATGCCTTAATTTTGGCCGAGTGAGGTGGCTCACGCCTGTAATCCCAGCACTTTGAGAGGCAGGGGCGGGTGGATCATCTGAGGTCGGGAGTTGGAGACCAGCCTGACCAACATGAAGAAACCCCGTCTCTACTAAAAACACAAAATTAGCCAAGCATGTTGGCGCAATGGCTGTAATCCCAGCTACTCGGGAGGCTGAGACAGGAGAATCGCTTGAATCCGGGAGGTGGAGGTTGCCGTGAGCCAAGATCACGCCATTGCATTCCAGCCTGGTGCACTCCAGCCTGGGCAAAAAGAGCAAAACTCCATCTCAAAAAAAAGGCTTAATTTCTTTATGTGAATTACCTCTCCCAGTAACCAGAATTCTAAGCAATTTTCTTGCAGAATAAAATTAAAATTGTATTAATTCACTAAATATTCCAGTCAATCTAAATTGAAGAGGCCAGAAGACCCTGTGGGCGTGTTGTGTGCTTTCCTTGGGCATCCCTCTTACGAACTCTTGGGATGGGACTTATCTTCTTTCCTGGGCACAGCAGACAAAGCGTCTGAATCTGGGGGTGGTCAACCTCCAAGAAGTTAATAATTGCCCTTTAGTGTGAGATTCAGAAAAGCACAGTGCCTGGAGGGACCTAAGAAAGAACGTTTAGTTCCTGCAGACCACTGGGTTCCCGGAGGCCCCTCTACTCCTCCACTGCTTCCTCCCTCCCCCGTTGGGGCTCAACTACTGAGAAGGTTTTGTCACTGTGTTTTAGGCTTGTTTTCTAGAGGAAGCATGCGATACATGGCATTAAAATATTTGTGCCACAATCCAGAAAATTATGAGTTCAATAAACCTTTCAGTATAGCAATTTTCACACCACAAAATAAAAAGAAATGAATTATAAGTGAAAACATGAGGTATTTGGACATAAAGATGGGAACAGTAGACACCAGGGACTAGTAGGGGAGAGAGGGAGGGAGAGAGGCATGGGCTGAAAAACTACCTGTTGGGTAAAGTGCTCACTACCTGGGTCACAGGATCTGTATCCGAAATCTCAGCATCATACAATACACCCATGTAACACACCTGCATGTGTAAATAAAATTGAAAGGAAAAAAAGTAACTACTTAAAGGTGAACTATTAGAACATAACCCAATGATAAGCTGGGACTAACTGCTGTCCACGAAGCATAGAACCATTCATGGACTAGATCATTTTCTTGGTGATGATCTGTCTGAATATTGAGCTACAATACTCATTGGAGGAGATCTTTCAGAAGGCCCTCTGACACAGCCACTAGGTCAGGCTTTTTGAAAAACTGAACTGGGGAACACACTGGATTGGATGCACCCAGCACGTATGCACACATTGTATGACTAGAAAGCAGAATACTATAGCATATAGTTCTTTATTTGAATTGTCGTTTTCCTTGTGAGCATAAATTCTAGGATTACAGGCACAATTTTAAAAGACATCTATCAATATTGGACTGGCATGATCCTCCATGTTTCAGTTTACTCCATATCCTGTTATTAGTTCTGTAATGGTATATATCAAAATTTACAGTGGCCTCATAGGTAGGTGTCCAGCCATTTTCAGAAGTCTTTGTCTTGAAATTCTTGGATGATTTCTAAGATTTAATTTATTTTTAAATGCTTGATTTCCTTCTATGCATATAAATATATATAAATATTGTTTATACATATACATGCGTGTATATATGTGTGCATATTTGTATTTTTATGTACAAACTTATAGACACACACATATACCTTAACTTGAGAGAATGGAGATTTCAGCAGAGAAAATTGTAGAGACATGGCCATGAGACGTGTGTTTATTTGTAAATGACCTTTGATCCCTTCAAATGTAGAGAAACGTAAAGGACATTTGATGGCCATAGACTTGGAAAGATTTTTTTTAAATACAATCATCTTGCTATATTTTGGTCTTTGAAAAAAGTCAATTTTAGCACAATGGAGAAACATATTTGGAAGACATTTAGGCTGTGAAAGCTGAGTTTTGTTGATATTTATGGGCAGAGAAAACTTCCTTTTTGACTATTGTTCTGCAGGGCCAGAGACAGATTGATCAGTTCTAGTGTTTTTGAAGAAAAATTACTCTCTTTGTGGCTGACGAGCTTCTGGGAGGCAGGAATTGTCCCAGTCATCTCCAGCACCCAAAGGAATGCCCACCGTTTAATAAACATCCCATACGTTTTTCTTGAATGAATAAAAAAATGTAAGACGTTCTACCGATATATGGTACTATCAGTTTCTAGGCATGGTTCATGCCCCAATTAAATCAGTTTCAGGAAGTAGCCTTTTTTGAAACACACAAAATCTTGAAAAATGCTGGTGAAAACATAAAAATTATCTGGGAAAGTCATAATGGGAGAAATGGCTCAGAGTCCGTGATTTTATGGTCTAGAAGAGCATAGGCTACCAGGATGATGACAGTGCTCTTCATGTAATGAGTGTGGCTCTGCCATATGAGCCAGGGAGCTTCAGGCTCTGTGACTGGACCAACCAGTGGAAATTATAAGGATGTATAATTTAGATATAAACAGACCCTGATATTTATTTTCCAACATTAGAACAGGCTATCACGTGAGATAGGAAACATTACTGGAAGCATTCTAATGAAAGTTAGATAAAAATTTGAGGCACAGCTGGGCATGGTGGCTCACGCCTGTAATCCCAGCACTTTGGGAGGCTGAGGCGGGTGGATTGCTTGAGGTCAGGAGTTTGAGACCAGCCTGGCCAACATGCTGAGACCCCATCTCTACTGAAAATACAAAAATTAGCTGGGTGTGGTGGTGCACGCCTGTAATCCCAGCCACTTGGGAGGCTGAGGCAAGAGAATTGCTTGAACTCGGGAGGTGGAGGTTGCAGTGAGCTGGGATCTCACCACTGTACTCCAGCCTGGGCAACAGAGCAATACTCTGCCAAAAAAAAAAAATGAGGCATGTATTGTGGAGACTATTTCTTCTGTATCAGGTGAGAAGGAGGAGACCTCAGATCCAGTGTCTTAGAAAAAACAGAGCGTCTTTCTCCTTTCTAATCCTATGGAAGGGGCTGATGCCACAGGTGTGGGTCCTGCCCCACACATCTACACTAGGACTCCTGCTTTTTTACCCAGTTGCTTTGTGGCATCTATCAAATATGAGTCATTAGCTTGCTGGAGGTCCAGGCGGCAGAAAAGGGAAAGAGCATTATTTCAGCCAAGTGGTTTGCCTCTGTGTTGAGGATGACCTTGACATTTCACAGACTTTATCCATTTACATTCTCTGACCCAAACCTCATTACGAAGGTACCTCCACTGAGCGGAGGGTGGAAGCTTTGTCTCCACTGAGCAGAGGGTGGAAGTTTCGTCTACAGCTGGGGGATCAGGCCTCTCACAAAAATCCCTTCCCTATAGGAGAAAGGAAGGCTGGATTTAGGGGAAAACCTGGGCAGTGGTCTGTTTTTTACAACAGAAAACAATGGGGTCTCTTACTCAAATACTACTGCAATCCTGCATGTGCATTCATTTATTTGTTCTTTTAATAAATATTAATGGATTAGCTACTACGTACCCAGTACTGTGTTAGTTACTGAGATATGCATACAGATAAATTATGCTTCCTGCATTCAATAAGCTTACACTTTATTTTTAAAGTACCTTTAAAAATAGCTATAACTTAAAAACAACAAATCACCTAATTCAAAAACTGACAGAGATATTTGAATTTCTCCAAAGAAGATACACTAACAGCAAAAAGCCACCTAAAAAGATGCTCAACCTCACTAATCATTAGGGAACTCAAATCAAAACTACCATGAGATGCCACCCTACACCCATTGGGATGGCTGCTATCAAAACACCAGAAATCAAAATGTGTTGGTGAAGATGTGGAGACATTGGAGCTCTTGTGCACTGTCCATGGGAATGGAAAATGGTGCAGCCGCTGTGGAGGACAGCATGGCGGTTCCTTAAAAAGCTGAAAGTAGAATTACCCTGTGATCTAGCAATTCTGCCTATAGGTTTATTCCCAACAGAACTAAAAGCAGGCTCTTGGCAGGGCATGGTTTCTCACATCTGTTATCCCAGCACTTAGGGAGGTTGAGGTTAGAGGATCCCTTGAGCGAGGAGTTTAAGGCTGCATTGAGCTATGATTGCACCACTGCACTCCAGCCTGGGCACAGAGCAAGACCCTGTCTCTAAGTAAATAAATCAATTAAATAAAGTAGGATCTTGAAGATATACTTGTATAGTCATTTTCATAGTACTCTTCAAAATAGCTAAAATGGAAACAACCCAAATATCTATTCACTTATGAATTGATAAGCAAACTGTGGTCTATTTATACAATAAAATATTATTCATCCTAAAAAGGAAGAAAATTCATACATATGTTACAGCATGGATGAATCTTGATGACATTATGCTAAGTAAAGTAAGCCATTCACAAAAAGACAAATGCTGAGGATTCCATTTACATGAGATACTTGGAGTAGTCAAAATCATTGAAATAGAAAGCAGAAGAGAAAGTCGTCACGTAATGCATATAGAACTTTGATTCAGCAAGATGGAAAGAGTTATGGAGATAGATGGTGTTGGTAGTTGCACAATATTATGAAGGCATTTAATAACACTGAACTACACACTTAAAATGGTTAAGATATACATTTATGTTATACATATTTTACCACAATAATCAAATTGGAAAAATAGCTATAATTCATTGATTTATGTACAATCTATAAGCAAATTTAAGGTACAACGAGCAAGAAAAGACACAATCTCAAAAAGGCCTGGAAGAATCAAAGACAATGACATTTAAAGTGTCTTAAGAGTGAGAAAAAGAATCCCATTAGCCTTTAAGGAGGAAATAGTATTCTGGGCAGACGAAAGCATTTGCAAAGCCCAGAGGCATGAAATAGCACATCGCATTTCCAGAAATGGAGAAATGAATGGAAATGGGGATGAGGAGAAACATGGAATGACTCATTCCACCATGGGAAGAAACTTGAACTTGATTCTCAAAGTCATGAACAGCCATTCAAATAATTTCTAAGTGGGATAGGCTAAGATTTGCATTTAATAAAAATAGCTGAACTTAAAGATATGGATAACAACAACTTTCCGGTAAGGAATGATAAAGATAGAGACAAAGGTCCCATTTGTGTGAGGTTTTCTAGGTGCGATTGTCAGTGTTATAACATGTTGCATTATTTCCACTCGTTGCCTTTGTGTCTGCATATAAAGGCTCACTAGGTTAGGGCTTGGAGGACTTCACATGATTTATAATGTACTTAGCACATTGCAAACACTTAATAAATACCACTGGAATGAATATGTAGATTGAATTTGTAGATCTCTCAGTCTTCCTCACAGCCAGCCTAGAAACATTTAATGTAAGAAATCTCCCTATAAATAGGCTGTGATAATCCATATAAAGTTGTGAAATATGTGCAAAGTGCAGTTTCATAAACATTTCAATTTTAAATAAGTAGAATCGATTAAAAAATACATCCCCCATGCAAAGTAAAATATCAGTTCAGCTCGACAAAATTTTTCAGCTTTTGTTATATTCTACACAATGTACATCTATTAACCTGAATATCTACAACTTTTTCAATCCTGTTGCAATTTTGTTGATTATGCTTTACTTAAGTGCTAAATGAGGCAAACCAAGTGGATTTGGCCCTGCTCTGTTTAAAGATTGTATTTACAAATAAAGATTGAATATATTCAAGTTGTACATACACCCATTATGGAAAACCACATCCAGTTCCTCAAAAAATTTGCCAGCAATCCCACTTCTTGGTATATACCCAAAGGAAATCAGTAGGTCAAAGAGATACCTGCACTTCCATGTTCATTGCAGCGCTGTTCACAGTAGCCAAGATATGGAATTGACCTGTGTCCATCAGTGGATGGATGGATAAATGAATGGTGGTGTACATATTCACACATTGTTGGTCAGATTGATTGAGTGGCTGACCAAGTGGGAACATTTGCCAGCAACCTGTCAGGGGTGGGAATCCGGGATGTATTTTTTGAGAGACCATTATTGACAAATCTTTCACGTCTTCCTATCTAGACATTAACAGCAATTTGCTTAGATTTATTTAAATGTTAAATAGCATAGACAAAGACCTCCTCTCCTTCCCAGAAAAGATGTGCTTACATCTCCGTGTGCTACAGGTAGCATCTCTCCATGGAGGGGAGGATGGCAGGGTGACCAGAGCCCATGTCAGATGGGGTTGTCCTCGGCGGGGCTACAACCTGTGTGCAGCCTCTTTCTGCCCCTGCCTCTGCACCCTCTCATCGGGATTAGGGACCGGGAGAATCAGTGTTGAGCAGGAAGCTCCTGCTGCCCATTGTGTTCTCGGTAACAGATTTCCCAGGTCCACTGGGCTCATTGTCTCATTACCAGTTGGTTCAAAGTGTGACGAGCTGACCCAGCAATGCCGTTCAGGAAGCTCAAGAACCACCCGACTGCCTCACAGCTCTCAGCTTATGCCATGTGGGACCTTGTGTAGGTTGGGCTCAGGCAAGAACTGAGGGCCTCAGTTTGTCAGCTGTGAAATAAGTGAGTAGTTCTTTATTCTGACGTGCAGAATCCTGGCCCCATCGGATTGTCCTGTCAGCCTATTTCCTTCAATCTATGGTCAAACATGCCCCACCATCACCTCTATTAAGGTTTTTTTAATTCCAAGGGATAAATTTCATTTATTTCAGGACTATATATATATATGTCCTGAATATATAGATATATATATAGCCCTGAATATATGTATATAGTCCTGAATATGCATATACAGTCCTGAATATATATATATACACACACACACGCACACACACATATATATGTATATACCCTACCATTACTCTCTTATAAAATTTTGGTGTGCCCTCCATTTAAAAAAAAAATATATATATACACATACATACATATATGCATATAACTATTGTGTGAATGTGTGCAAGATTCACTGAAAGAAACATTACTTTTTTTACTTTCTCTTAAATACAAATCCACTTTTATTTGGAGGCTCAGTGTGAAAAGTCAGCCCTATGACAAACATGAAAACCTGCCCCATGACCTCCAAGTGGAATCCCTGCTTTTGTCCTCATTCATTTTTCCTCCAAGGGCAGTTACCATCTCAGTGATTGTTACAGTGGTGTATTGTCTAAATTTCTATTTCTTTCAAATGACATAAGCCTGTTGCCTTATAAGAAAAATATGAAGGCAACAGAGCAGATCCCCCTTGAGATTGAATAGAATTCTATCTTCTTTGCTTGTTTATGCAATGAGAATGAAGTTGGCATTTCCCTGAGGTCGGATGCAGAGGTTGGGCATAGGAGGTGAATACAGTCAAATTTTAACTTCGCATTCCATTGAATTTAAAATCTTGATGGTTTGCCTGAAGGTTATGCTCTCAGAAATGGAAGCTCTACCCTTCAGACCCTACTTATGTATTGCTATCTCCAAGGAATCAAGCTCTCACATTTCTAAGTCCTCTTTTCCACCTTTATTTATTTTCCTCTTTTTTTTTTTTTGCCTTAGCACTTATCACCTTCTCACATATTGTATGATTTACTTGTTTATTGTGTTTATTGATTGTTTTCTGTTTCTACCTTACCAGAAAGTCAATTCGACAAGAGCAGAGATCTTTGTCTATCTTGTTCTCCAGTGGAATCCAAAGTGCCTAGGATGATGCTTGGCATACAGTAGGAGCCTCATAAATATTCACCGAATGAATAAATGACACTTGTTTCTATTCTGGAAGACGTTTAAAATCCTGTGTATAAGCAAGAAATTGATTAGTTGCATTAGTTTCAGATAGACTGATTATTGGAAAAGTGGTCTCAGCCTCAGAAATCCTGTCTCAGAGGAATTCAACAGTGGTTATAAGGACAGTATTTTGGTACTATGGACACCTGTCCCCTAGAGACTGAATCGCAACCCACCAGGTTCATAGAAAAAGGAAGTCCTTAGTAAGGCATGGGAATCTCACCCTGTGTTCAGCGGTGGGGACACCCAGATGATGATGACATACCAGGGCTGTCAGACAGCACCTCTGTAATATCGATGACAGTTTCCATTTTTGCCTTCGTCTCTGCAGGGTGCCGTATCCCATGGGTGCCTTCGCCAATGGTTTCCCAGTTCACTGTCATTGAGCTGGTCACATGCAAACCTTGAGCTTTCGCTGATTCCCAAGAGACTCTCCTTGTTAGGCTGTAACAACAAGCAGCATTAGACGGAGTCCTGAGAGGCAGGCTGTGAGGACAGGAGAACAGCATGGACGTTCTACCTCCAGGACACCTTTCACAGAACCAGCTTCGGAGTTTGTTGTGTGACGATTTTAATTTGTTTTTAAAGGTGATGTTGATGTTCTGGTTATGGTGAATCCTAGTTCTATAGGAAGTTATAGACTTATCATCACTCCAGTAATTGCCAAAAGTGGCAGCTGATAGTGTGAGAAAGTGGCAATTTTGGCAGCAATTTAACTGGATAAGATCTGCAATGACTCTAGCAGGTAGGTAACAGAGTGAAAGCACTTCCTTGTTTCTCAAACCACTCAATGTATGATGTCCGCTGCTTATCAGATTCCTAATTCAATGGTGTTTTTCTTCTACATAGTTTTGCATTCAAACTCGGTCGGTAAACATGTAATCCAATATCCCACATTTTGAGAATAGACTGAAATTGAGAAACAAAACGTAGAAAATCAATTATGACAACATCAAGAGTTTAATGGGATTTCTCATTCAAACTAAAAATACAAAGTTCAGGGGATCCCTGGAACTTCTTCCATTTAACTTTAGGGAGTTCCATTTTTATGCCATCCCCTCATCAGTTTTCTGTGTTTTGATATTGATGCATTATCCTCATTGAAGCCTGCAGTTTCACTGGATATGTGCCACATTGTGGTGTTTTGTTTGCCTTGGTTACATTTAGCCATAAAGATGATGGAATGATGAACCAATTCAGATTATTTCTTAAGATGCAACTGGAACCCTCCTAATTTTGAAGACAGAAAAATGTAAAAGGTCTTTATTGGCTTTTGATCCTGATTTATGGTCTCATAAAGTTCTAACAGTTTCACCATGTTTCAGAGAAGTATTTGAAAAATATTAAAACAAAACTTGATTTCTTTAATCTTTTTTCCTGTAATGGCTAAGAAAGTTCAACCAAATTTGAAAATAACATTTCCAGCAAGTAATAGGGTCCTCTGTTAACTTTTTTTATCTTTTTTTCTTTTTCTTTTCTTTTCTTTCTTTTTTTTTTTTTTTTTTGAGACAGAGTCTCACTTTGTGGCCCAGGCTGGAGTGCAGTGGCGCGATCTCAGCTCACTGCCACCTCCGCCTCCCAGGTTCAAGCAATTCTCCTGCCTCAGCCTCTGGAGCATCTGGGATTACAGGTGTGCACCACCATGCCTGGCTAATTTTTGTATTTTTCATAGAGATAGGGTTTCACCATGTGGGCCAGGCTGGTCTCAAACTCCTGATCTCAGGTGATCCCTCCACCTCACCCTCCCAAAGTGCTGGGATTACAGACGTGAGCCACTGTGCCCGGACTGTTAACTTTTGAAGAAACTTCTTCTGGCAACTTTTTCTGAGATGAAATACTTTATTGAAACAATATAATTATGGAGAATTTGCTTGAACTTCAGAATTAAAGAGAAACAGACTTGAGTGCTTTCACTTGACAAAAAAAAAAAAAAAACAAAAACAAAAAAACAAAGGCAGTCTTTTCTTTTCCATGAATATATGATTTTCACAGCTTATTAACTTCTTTCTAAGCCTCAGTTTTATCATTTCTCATAGGTGGTGCATCTCCTGCATGGGTTCTCATTAGGATTAATTGAGATGATCTCTGTGGAGCATTTAGCACAGTTCCTGACAAAGGGGAAAAATTCAGGGGATGCCCCTCTTTTTATGTTAGAAAGCTGCTTGGTAAATTTACTGCAAAGCACTTTTGTGATTGTGAGGCGATTGTTATCATAGCATAAATATTACAACAGTATAATCATTTCCACTACATCTTCTAACTACACCAAAGGAAAATATAATGATTTTTTATTGCTGACATGTAGAAAAACTGATTTGTCTGTATATACTTTGCAACTGGTTGTCTCACTGACCTCTCTCACCACATCTATCATTTTTAAATATGTGGTTTCTTCATATTTTAACGCCTCTGAAATCAAGTCATGGTTTATAGTCAATGTCAGAAACCATGTGCTCTCCACAGCTGTCATTGGAGAAGATAGGTCCTGGCAGACCTGTCATTGCTGGGACATTGTTTTCATCTGGGCGTGGGAGCCGTCCATTCACTTGGCCATCAATGTGAGGTATCTCCATTGGTGGCACTTGGATGAAGTTGCAATTTAAATTAAATTTGGATAGAACATTTTTACTTGTCTGCAAAATGATTACAGATGATAATATATGGAGACAAAAAATGTATTATTTGTAC